>NT_187551.1:0-164558 GCF_000001405.40 Homo sapiens
CACCAGACTAAGGATTGTAGAGGATACAATTAATTGGTAGCCTCAGTCTTCTCCTACAAGAAGCTTACATTCAATGGTGTGCTGGAGCCCCCATGTGCCTGCTTGTAAGGACCATTTGCTAAATATCCAGAAATTTTGTGAGCTGGTGTTAAACAGAGATGTGGTTGCTTGAATAACGGTATCTATGTCCTAATCCCTGGATCCTGTGCATGTTAACTTATATAACAACCAAAAAAAGGATTTTTCAGGTATAATTAAGCATCTTGAGATGGAAAGATTATCTAGGTGGGTCCTAAATGTAGTCACATGTATGCTTATGAGAGGAATGCAGAAGATTTGACACACACAGAAGAGGAGAAGGTGCTGGAACCATGGAGTCAGAAATTGAAGTGATGTAGCCACAAGCCAAGCAATGCCATGAACCACTAGAAGCTGGAAGAGGCAAGAAGCAAATTCCCCCATAGAGTCTCCAGAGGGAGTGCAGTCTTGCTAACCCCTTGATTTCAGCCCGTGAAACCGATTTTGGACTTCTGGCCTCTAGAACTAAGAGAATACATTTTTGTTGTTTTAAGGCACCAAGTTGGTGGTAATTTGTTACAGAGCTGTAGGAAACTGATACAGGTGGGTAGCCTGAAATCAGCCATGGTGGGAGTATTTACACCCCAGAAACTGGCAAATGCTACAAATCAGGGCTTTTAGTTTTAGAGACCTGGTTTGCTCACATCATAACTGAGTAAATCAGCCTTAAACAACTAGCAAATGTCACTTCATGGCATGACATGACAGGATGTGCTGTGATATGACATGATATAATGTGATGTGTCATTAGGAAACACACTCAACTTATAACCAGGTTCCTCATTCTGAATCTTTCCCAAACAGGTTCTGTCTGTTATTAGGCAGATCTCTTTTCTTCTCACTGTGGTTTGGTGTCCTTTCAGAAAAAACAAGAGCCTCAAAACAAACTCATTCATTATAGAAACATTTACTAAGCACTTACAGTGTAGCAGAAATGGTGCTGAAGGTACAAAGGTGAGGGAGTCCCAGTGCCAGTCACTGAAGAATGAATACTCATTGTGACATCAGACAGCGAAGCAACAAGAAAATGCCGTGAGGTTGAAGATTAAAGGTGACTGCTGGGGTGTTTCCCATCTTTGTGATTTCCACTCTTTGTGATCCCAGTGCCAAATCATTGACTTATTAAAGTGGAGCTTTCAGTGGAAGATTGCTATGGTCTGAATGTTTATGTCCCTCCAAAATGTATGTTAAAAACCTTATCACCAATGTAATGCTATTAGGAGGTAGGGCTTTGGGAAGGCGATCAGGCCATGAGAATGGAGCCCTCATGAATGAGATCAGTGCCTTATAAGAAAGGCCCCAGAGAGCTGCCTTCCCATTCTACCATGTAAGGTTACAGTGAGAAGGCACTATCTATGAATTGGGAAGTGGGCCTTCATCACCAGTCACTGAATCTGCTAGCATCTTGATCTTGGACTTTCCAGCCTCCAGTACTGTGAGAAATAAATTTCTGTTATTGATAAGCCACTCACATATAGTATTTTGTTATAGCAGCCCAAAAAGACTAAGAGAAGTTCTCCAACACTAATCAAACAGCATTATCTGAAAGGGGCTGTGTTGGAAAGTTGTTACTGTGTTGAACTCCAGCTCAAACAACTAAGCAAAGCTAAGCTGGGCCAAGTACAACATTGGATCCTAATCACAGGCAGGTAGCATTTGTCAAACAAGATGACACCACCCACAATGTCACAGTAGTGGAGGTGGTGCTCATCATCAAAGATGCCACTGCTCCACAGGATGGACCACCCACTGGTGCTATGGTAACAGCAACATGCAAACCACTGCTAGGATGGCCACCTGGTCCCTGCTCTCTGCATCTTCCCCATGACTCCCGTTAAATGCCCTCACTGGGTGCTCTGCTTAAAGTTTTAAGATTTCAGGCAACTTCCTCTTCCCAGGTGGCATCTAAAGTTAACATCCAGGGATAGCTAACAGAAAACCACCTAGCCTTCCCTTTTTAAGACACTACATCTCAGGGGCCCTACTCTGATCCCCAAGTAAATTCTTGGACATCCTTTCAAGCTACAAATGTTAGCAATAGCAGTCCTCTATGGGAGACGTAATACAGTTGCTATTATTAGGCAATTTGCACCGGGTAACAAGTTTACTCTTCCAGATGTGGGACCTATTTGCGGCAAAAGTCTGTTTATTCCTTCATGTAAGAAATGCTTACTGAGGAACTCTACATGCCAGACAATTAACTAGGTACTTGAGATCCAAACACAAGTGAAAAACAACCCCTGCCCTCAGAAGGAGACTTACCCATAATCAGCAAGTGTCACTGATATTATAAGATAAGGATGTCCAGGGAACAGCAAGGCACAAATGAGGTGGTAGACAGTCTCTCTAGAGGGCTAGGAAAAGACTCATACATGATAAGGTACATGGATCCAGGGAAGATGAAGGCAGTGTGGGATTGCTTTTGAATTTCTCCAAACTCGCCCATAAAAGCAGACAGACAAACTAAGATAACTAAACAAAAAAACCCACAGACAAAACTATTACAAACCCCAAAAGAAGTGTGGTGGGAACAAACATCTGATAGAATCAGACACATTACTGGTGACCGGACATAAGCCCTGTTAATGAGAAGCTTACATTTAGAGAGTCAATTAAGTACACGCTATACACAACCTAAAGTGGTAAATGCTACCTTGGTTATTCAACTTCACTGTTACATGCCTTGAAGTGTGGGGTGCACTGGCCTGAACCATTCTGGTTGTGTTTGATTCCTTAGGATGCCACCAACAAATAACATTGAGAAATACCCAGCTACTTTCATGTTCTCCAATGGCAGCAAAGTACAATGATCTCTATGATTCATGGGAGGTCAGATGAAGAGTGAGACAATTGTATTAGTCTGTTCTCGCACTGCTAATAAAGGCATACCCAAGACTGGGTAATTTATAGAGGAAAGAGGTTTAATTCTTCCAGTTCCACATGGCTGGGGAGGCCTCACAATCATGGCGAAAGGCAAAGGGGAAGCAAGACGCATCTTACACGGCAGCAGGCAAGAGGGTGTGTGCAGGGGAACTGCCCTTTTATAAAACCATCAAATCTCATGAGACTTATTCATTATCACAAGAACAGCATGGGAAAAACCTGCTCCCATGATTCAATTACCTCCTATGGGATCCCTCCCACGAAACATGGGATTATTACAATTCAAGGTGAGATTCGGGTGGGGACACAGAGCCAAACCATATCAACAATGTAGGGGAAGAAGACAAGAGCCTAGCTGTGCTGCCTATTGGCTGGACATCCTTTACCAAATGTCTTTAACTTCCCTAGGCCTTAATTTTCTCATTAAAAATGGAGACAGATATAACACACACCTCATGGGCTATTATAAGGACCGAATGGGATAATGTATGTGGGTGAGGAGAAGTCTTTGCAAACTAAAAACTGCTCCAAAATACATTATCTTCATTCACAGGCCACAGTAGATTAAGTTATTCATATATATTCCCTTCCTCTTCCCCCATCTTCATATATAGAGTTCCCTGCCCCTTGACTTTGGGCTCATCTATGTGACTTCTTTTGTTGGAAGGGATGTTAGCAAACCCATCGCAAACAAGCTATGATTGCACAGTGGTGCTCACCTTCTGCACCCCCATCACTGCCATGGGAAGAGCCTCCTGCCAACCTGGCCTCAGAAGGAACATACAGAGAGCAGACCTGAGCCCAACCCTGCATGAGGGGCCAAGCCCAGCTCTCTCACAGCTGGAAGGAGAGCCAGCCAGCCAACTCCCAACTGACATGCAGATGTGTGAGCAAGAATAAATGATGGCTGTTTAAAGCCACTGAGTTTTAGAGTGGCATTCCCCAACACGTGCTGAAAGGTACACAGCCCATCACTTCCCTCCTCAGCCTAAGAGGTCCTGGGAAATTGACAGCACTGTAGAAACCATTTTGATAAAATATTTGCAATGCAATTCACAAGTGAAAAGAATGATAGAGCCAAAAGGAAGAACTAGCCTAAGGCAGTGAGGTGGGTGAAGGGTGGCATCAGAATCATTCAGAAATTTCAAATTACATATACCTGATCCGCTCACCATCCCCATTCCATTCATTCCTATAGATATTTACCAGCCTAAGAGTAAGGAGGTGAAGAGATAGAACATTGTACTCCAAGAAATCATAGTAAGAAAACCCTGCACTACAGAATAAAAAAAAATGTGAAAGTCAATGGGGATCAGCACAGCAAAGATGAAGTACCCATTCATTCCCACTTTGCACCCCTGACAAACAAACAATGTCTGACTAGTACCAATGTACTCATGAGAGTGAGCATCATGAAGTCTGTAACATACTGGAAAATATTCCAGTCTACTCAGTGTGATATTATGTAAGCATCAGTTAATTTTAATTTAAATTCTAAGATTGATCAAGCTAACACTATGCTTTATACACAGCCCTGGGGTGGTTAGCTAGCATTACAACAAAAGGAGCCACCCTCCAGGAGAGGCTCCCCAAATACTTCCACTACCTGGGTCAACATCAACAATCCACAGCTTGCTAATTATTATATAACAAATTTTAAAAATTATTGGTGAAAGTAGGGTCTTGTTAATTAGCATAATGAATACTAGAAATTCAGTCTCATTAAAGAAATTAAAGATGTTGGAGATACATAAACTGCCATGGTAGTTGAGCCGTATTCTCCATTGCATGAACAAGGTATGAGACCCCAGCAAGGCTCAAGGTCTGTATAGGGCACCTGAGGCTTACTCCTTAATCAGATCCACATCCAGCAATTGATCACATTAGGAGGATCACTGACTGCACAGACTTGTAATGTGGCAGTGGCTGTGCTGAATCTGCAGACCATCCTAATGGAGTGAGGTCTCCTAAGGGGAGCGCGTGGAGGCTTTCATCAAGCTCACAGAATAGACCTATGCACTATTTTTGTGTCTACTTTGATAATGAATGTTTGTCTAATAAATGTATGTGTGACAGGAGAAAAGAGGTTATGATATGTATGCTGTGAAGGAAAAAAGGGCTGGGTGCAGTGGTTTATGCCTTAATCCCAGCACTTTGGGAGGTGAGGTGGGAGGATAGCTTGAGCCCAGGAGTTCGAGGTTACAGTGAGCTGTGATTGTGCCATTGCACTCCAGCCTGGGCAACAGAGTGAGATTTTGTCTCTGAAAAGAAAAGGGGGAAAAAAAAGCCACCTCTCATTTAAAAAAAAAAAAAGACTTTGTAAAGAACATAAATTGCAGAACACTTAAAAATAAAATTAAACTTTATTATGTTTAGAGTCTGCTGCTAAGTGGTAAATAAGTGTAAATATCTAAAATTAGATACTTTTTTACAATTTCAAGTAAGATGAATAAATATTTTAAAATTCATTATTTATTCTTCCATCTACTAGCTACAAATCTGTTGTGAATTTCAGCTTACTCATTAGTTATATAGGTCATATGTACCTTGAAGGAATGTTGTAAGCATTTAATGAAATGATGCAGAAGATCATGAAAATACAAAAAAATACTGCGTGTTTTCAATGTGTTAGTTCCTTCTCTCCCCTTACTCCCAATATACAGAAGTCACTGAAGAATCTAGAAATGCATCCAGTCCATACACAGAGATGTCATTAATGGAAGCACAGCCTCGAGGTTGGGAACACCATTCATCATGGCCAGCTAGCTCAGGGGCTTTTCAATACCAGTCTGTGGAATGGAATGGTGTTGGGCAGAAAGAAGTAACTTTTTAACTTTTTAACATTCTTACATGGAAAAGTAGAAACATCAGAACCTAATTTTAAACGATTCAATGAAATCCAAGTCAAGGAGTCTCGGCTTTGGTCCAGTGATGGAGCTGATGCTGACACTCCCCTTCTCCATGATTCCTGCCAAGGGTACATTACAAGGCTCTGTCTGAGCTTCTTGATATGCAAAAACATGTTACTGAGGCCACAACCTGGAAACTTTCACTTAGATTCTAGATCTTCTAAATGTGTTGGTTACTCTAGAATTTAGTGGGGAGGAGGGGAGTTTACATTTCTTTTAAGAAAACGAATACTGTCATGTTTCAGATTTCCAACGCATCCTATTTATCCTGTTCACTTTATCTTTGAAGTTTCTCCTGACGACGGCTGTCATCCATCCAGCTGCCATCATCCCCGTGCAGCCGCCACACAGTAACTGCTGACGCCAGGTGGCTCCTGCCCGCACTCTAACTCCTGCAGTCCACTTCCCACTTGACTGCCTCTACGATAGGTTAAAACTGCAGACCTACTCGTGTCATACCCCTGTTAAAACCCATTAATGGTTTTCCATGCTCTCAGAATAAATTCTGAATTCCTACACACAGCGTACAAGGCCCTTTCTCCTCTGGCCTCTCTGTGTGTCTCTAACCATTTTTCTCCTTTCTCTGTCTGTTTCAGCAATATTAGACTTTTATCTCCTCCAGGGTTCCACATTCCCTTCGGCCTTTGGACTTTTGTACTTGCTGCTTTTTGTTTCTCTCTGCCTGATATAGTCATTTTACAGATAAAAAAACTAAAGTTCAGAGAAAGGAAGTGACTCAGCCATGGACACTTCATCTGTTTCTTCATTAAGGAAACATCCAGATTTCTAAATACAGGAGAGGAATACAGTAGCATGGCTCCAGAATCAGACAGACTCAGCTTGAACTTTTAGCTTCATCATTTACTAGCTGCGAGATCTTAGTCAAATGACCCAACTCTTCTGTAATCCTTGTTTTCCTCATCTATAAAATAATGTTAGCGCCTATATCATTGGGTACCTGTGAGGATAAACTGAGATGATAGATGTAAAGTTCTTTATTTCAGAGCCTGGCACACAATAAGCATTAAATAAAAATCTGGTGGTGTTGACTTAATTATTGTTTTCATAATCATTGGTTGGCTTGATTGTTGACTTTTCAGATTTAAATTTAATGCAGTCATAAAAATGAAGGCATAATTAATTCACCCAGAAATATGGGACCACTTCAAGAATGGAGAGTAAATTACTTGTATCAGATGAAAGATCATTACATACATACCTGGGCAAGCGCAAATGAAACTTGTGTGGAATTCAAAGAGAACCATCACGAGTAATGGTTATTCAAAGTTAATAGGCAAAAAGAAGCAGGTGTGGAAGGAGAGTGCAGTTATCTGACAACGAGTTGGAGCTGGGATGCAGCTAGTAAGTGTGGGCCTCTCAGGAAATTTCACTATAGAAGAGGAAAGAAAGAGATGGGGCAAACTGTTTCTCTCAAGTGATTACAGCATATTGGAATGCGTGCAGGATGAAGTTAGCAGTAGAGGACACGGTGAAAATGAAGGACAGAAAGGTGGTAAGTGATTCTTCAAAGTTCTCAAGGAAGGAGAAACAACGGGATCAAAGGCTCAAGGGAAGGGAAAGCACGAGCCGCGTACAGAAAGAAGGACTTCTCTTCGGTGTAGTCAGAAGGAATTAGAGAAGTATGTGTCTTTACATACACTAGTGCAGTTTTCTGAAATGGCTGTGGGGAGCAGGGCCTGGGAAAAGCTATTTCCAGTTGCAGAGATGCCTTTGGTGTATGGAGTCTCTGTCAACAGTGGTTCTCAAACTTGGCTCAGCCTTGGACTCCCTGGGAAGCTTTTAAAAATTCTGATCTCCGTTATGCCCCATGCCAATTAAATCAGTATCTCTGTGGTGGAACACAGGCATCAGTAATTAAAACAAAACAAAAACAGGAGATTCTAATGTGTAGTCAAGTTTGAGAACCAGTTATCTAGAGGTATTATAGGAATGAATTGCATACGGTTAGAATAAAATTGTGTACAGTTAGAACCAAAAATAACTTCAGCAAATCTTTGGTTTTGTCTCTTTAAAATCAACACTACACCAGCAAATGCATAAAGGAAATCGAATAGAAGATATCAGAGTGCATTGCATATAAAAAGGGAAAGCATAATTTGTATAAGCATGTCTATTTACATACATTCATATGAAAGAACTGGGTACAGATATAAAATGTTTTTCTTATTAGGTCAGGGTCAAAAAAGCTTGGAAACCACTGATCTAGATAAACTCCTTTCACAGATGAAGAAACTGAGGCCCAAGGAGATTAAAAGTCTTCCTTAAAGTTACACAAACAAAAAGATAGCCAATTCCGGACTAGAATCTAGTTTCCGTGACTACTTTCAGGGTGCCCCTTGACCCTCTGTTTCCTGTGTGTTTTGGTTTCCTCTTCTCAGCACTATGATAAACTTCCTGAAGGCAAGGATTATGTCTTCAATTCTTTAGGGTTACCCACATTTATCCATTTCTTTGCTTTCCACATCCCGCTTCTCTCCTATGGATTCCATTCTTTTTCTTATTGAAGTAATTTTTCCGCAAAGCTCTCTTTTGTTCTTTGCTTGAAATTGTTTTTGTTTTGGTCTCACTTTGAATGATAGTTCACTTCATCAGGGATTCTCAAACTGTAATGAGCATTTAAAACACCAGGGATCCTGTTAAACTGCAGACCATGATGCAGTAGGTCTGGGATAGATTCTGCATTTCTTACTCACTTCCAGGTGATTCTGGTGCTGCCGGTCCTTGGACCACAGTTTGAGTAGCAAGAGTTTAGCAGATTCAGAATTCTACATTGACACTTACTTTCCACTCCTCCCATCCCGCCCCCAAATGCTTTGAAGATATTTTCTTGTCTTGTGGCTTCTATTATTGCTAATGAGAAATTTTATAACAGTCTAATATTTGTTTTTAAGAAACTTCTCAATCCCTCTGATTACTTTCAAAATTTTTATCTATCTTTGTTGTGTTCTAATTGTGTTGTGATGCACCTAGATTTATGTTTATTTATTCGACTTGGGATGACTTCTTCAATCTGAGGATTGAGCCTCTCATCACTTCTGAAAATTATCAGTCACTACTCCCTGCAATATGGCCTTATGGATCTTGCATTCCAGCAGGAGGAGACACACAATAAGCAAAAGACATAAATAAGTAGTGGTCACTTAAGAGGTAAGGGGTTCTAGGGCAAAAAGAAAAGGCTGCTGTGGGTGGGGATGGAGGTGCAATTTCAAATATGATAGTCAGGGTCAGGCTCACTGGGAATGTGACATTTTAGTAAAGACGTGGAGCATGCTGGAGAGACAGAGTTCCAGGCAGATGGGAGGCAGTACCAATTCTTTAGTAGAGACTGGGGGTGGGGGTGAAAGAGGAGAGAGGGAGAATCATACAGGGGCTTAGCACTGGAGTACCAAAGAAGTAAAAGGCATTTTAATCCTTAAGAAGTTTAACAGAAAAAAAAAAAAAAAAAACAGATTAGAAGCACTGAAAATATGATCCACTGGAAAATGCTGAATTACAGAGTCCTAAGAGTGCTCAGGGGAGAGGCAGGAGTGAAAGCACAAAAGTGGTCCTGCAATGCAAATACTCCTCCCTGAAAGCCCCTGGCCAAAACATAATGCATTTTACTGTCTAGAGAACGCTACTGGGTAAACAGAACACTCATCTGGTAGCAGAAAAAAATGCTAGAAAATAGGCCTGTAAAAATAAAAATCCAGTCATGAATTTAATGTCCTTTCAAGAGGATTTTTGAGATAGGTTCCTCTTGGATTGTATCCCTCTAAAAATCCCATGTTCACATAACCAAATGTGGGGCAAGTTTTAATCAGGCATAACAACTACGTTTCATTTTCTCTTCCACTTCCAGGATGATCAGAAGTAAATGTTCCAATTGCAGTAAATCCATGCAAAAAGCTTTTTTGGCTTATTACACCCCATACCCCCACATACGCTATTTATCTTTTTTGTTTGTACTATTGGTCCTATTCAATATGTGTCTTTTATTGTAAGCAATTTCAAACCTGATTAGAAGGGGAGTTGTGGAAAAGAGTACAAAAAAAGTGAAGTAATTTCTAGAAATCTAGACTTGATTCTCATGTGAATCCCTGGGATAGCTGAGAGCCCTAAGAGTTCTGTGAGTACCAGCAAAACAAGGGATATGACAGCATCATCCAGGAATTTTGCCCTAAAATTGAGGGGAAAAGTCTTTCTTCTGCCCCACTTCTTGTCTCAGGACTCAGAATAAAGCCAAGCCTATCTTTACTTGACTCAACAATGGCCCCTGGAGACAATGGGCCAGTTATCCCTTAGCCAGGCTCTGTCACATTCATGTCCATACACTCCTCAGCCATCTTGCTTCATATCTAAATTAAGTCCTGGTCACTCCCTGTGCTCCTTGTCCCACCTCTTTGCTGGGTTCTCTCCAGTGTATCATCTGCCTTTTAGTTACAGCTGTTTGATGTGGGGGATGACGTGTCATGGCAGGAAAAGTACTGGCCTTGGAGCCAACTCCTTGAAGACCAAAATATAAGTCTTGGCCCTGCTCGTGATCTTGGACTCTACGCACTAGTTTCTGCATCTGTTAAGCAACAACAACAAAAACATGGGGGCTAATAGTACGTACTGTGCCAACTCATAGAGTAATATCAAATTCAATAATGAAATGTAAGAGCACTTTGTCACCAGGATGATCAACACTAGAGCTTCCCAAACTTTAAATTGCTTCAAAATCCCCCAGGGAGTCTGTATAAAGGGGAAAAACAGATAATAAACATATTAAACTAGGAAAATATATATAGTTTTTTAGAAGGTAGTCAGTGCAAAGGTGAAATCCAAAGCATGGCAAGGGAGTGCAGGGGAAGGATGACTTCAATTAGGATGGTCACAGCAAGTCTCACTGAGAAGGTGATGTCTGAAAAGACTTAAAAGGGGTGATCGTCATGCCAATATCTGGGAGAAAAGTGGTCAGGAAGAGGAAATGGAACAAGAAGGGCAAAGGCCCTCTGGGGAGAGCATGCTTACTGTGTTCAAGGAACCAGAGGACCAGAATGGCTAGAGGAGAAAGGATTCAAGGAGACTAGAGAGAAAATGGGGCCATATCCTCCAGGGCCCCATACGTTGCAGTAAGGGCTTTTGACTTTTACTCTGAGTGAGATGGATGCCACTGGAGGAGGCCATAAAATGCCTTGTGTTTTGAGTGGACATCTGACTGTGGCACCAAGAATAGCCTGTAGGGAAATAAAGTAGAAGCTGAGAAACCAGGTAGGAGATGATGGCATTAACCCAGGTGAGCCAACAAGGTGTCCTGGACCAGGACGGTTCTGGTGGAGGAGGAGAGAGTGGTTGGAATCTACACCCGTGCTGAAGGCAGAGCCAGCCAGATTTACAGATGAACTTGGGAGGTGAGAGGAAGAGAGAGTGAAGTCAGGGATGACATAAACGATAGGGAAGCCACTAACTCAAAGATTTGTCAGCAGCTTGGTGTGGTGTCTCAAGCCTATAATCCCAGCACTTTGGGAGGCCAAGGCAGGTGGATTGCTTGAGCCCAGGAGTTTGAGACTAGCCTGGGCAATAAAGAAAGACCTCGTTTCTACAAATTAAAAAAACAAAAATAGCCAGTCTTGGTGATATGTGCCTGTGGTCCCAGCTACTTGGGAGGCTGAGATGGGAAAATCACTTGAGCCCAGGGAGTCAAGGCTGGAGTGAGCCATAGTGGTGCAACTGCACTCCAGCCTGGGTGACAGAGCAAGACTCCGTCTCAAAAATAAAGATCTGTGAGTAGTGATTGTGAGTAGGACAGATGTTGATGGGAGAATTAGAAGTTCAGTTTTAGGCAAGTTGGTTTCTTAAGCTTAAATGAATATATCGAAAAATGAACACATTTTAAGTGGGCAGCTCGTTGAATTTGTACACAGAGAACATACCAAGTTACTCACCTCAAGATCAAAAAGAGAATATTCTGTCCAACAGAGAAGCTTCCTTCACACACCTCTTGGTCATCACCTATCCCAAAGATAACTGTTATTCTGACATTCATAAACATAGATTAGTTTTGCCTGGCTTTGGACTTCATGTAAATAAATGGAATTACACAATATCAACTCTTGTGTTTGACTTTTTTCATTCAGTATGAACTGTGTGAGAATCATCCACATTGTTAAATATAACAATGGTTCATATATTTTCCATTGTTGTGCATTATTCTATTGTTTGAATACATCACAACTCATTTATCCATTCAATTATTGATGGATATTAGGCTTGTTTTCAATTTGGACTATTACTGATACTGCTGCCATGAGCTCTCTTGTACATACTTTTGTCGCACATATATGTGCATCTGTCCTGGGTATATATCCATATATACATATGTCTAATGCATCTTTTCATTTAGAACCTAGCCAAGATGCCATAAGGAAGCCCAGGCCGCCAGGAAGAAAGACTCATGTGAAGGAGAATCAAAGCAAAAGTCAAACACAAAAGAGTTTATTTTGTATAATTCTATTTACGTGAATTTCAAAAACAGAAAAAACTAATTCATATTGAATTCCTAAGTGATAGCCAGTACCAGCTTGCAGCCATGTGGGTGACTTGCTGGATCACGCAAAACAGATTCCCAGTGTTATGCACCAACTTAAAGTCCCACCAGCAATATTTAAAGAGTCTATATTGCTCTGCATCCTCCCCAATAGTTGTGCTGCCAGATTTGTTTGTCTGCTTTTTTCATTTTAGCCATCTGGATCGGTATGTAGTGTTATCTTGTAATTCTCTGATAACAACTTGTATTTCTCTGATAACACAAGGTGAGCACATTTTGATGCCTATTGGTAATTTGAATAACCTTTTTTTGCAAAGTACTTGTTCAAGTTGTCTGTGAATCTTTTAATTAATTGCTGTGGTTGATTAAAGATGGCTACAAGTTCTTTGCAGCCATTCCCCATACACTCTGAGTGGTGGAGTAGATTTCTCCACCCCGCTGAATCTGGGCTAAGCCATTGACTACTTTGATCAGTAGAATACAGTAGAAATTATGCACTGCCAGTTCTGAGCCTAACCTTGAAGAGGGCTGACAGCTTCTGTGTCCTCTCACTTAGAACCTAGCTACCATGCTACAAGGAAACTCAACAAATCATATGGGAATGCCCATATGGAAAATAATTAAGGTCTCAGGCTAACAGCTCCAGCTGGATTCCCAAGTGACAGCCAGCACCAATTTGTGGGCCATGTGAATGGCCAGTCTTGGAAGTGGATTCTCCAATCCCCGTCAAGCCACCTCATCTGATGCCATGTGGAGCAGAGACATGCTGTGCCCCCTGAGCTCTGCCCAAATTGCAAAACTAACAAATTGCTCAAATTACAAAAATAACATGGTTACTTTTTTAAAGCCACTAAGTTTTGAGGTGGTTTGTTATGAGGCAATAGGTAAGTAAAAATAGCTTTCTGTCTTTTCTTACTGATTTTCAGGAAATTGGGGCATATACTGAATATGAATCCTTTGTTGCAAGTATGTTCTTCAAATATTTTCTCCCAATCTGTGGCTTGCTATTTCCCTCCCTTAATGATGTCTTTAATTAGAATGAAATCCAATGTATCAATCTTTTCCTTTATCTTAGTGTTTTAATGAAGGAATTGCTCCTTGCTCCAATGTTATAAATATTTTCCCCTGTATTACATTCTAGAAATTGGAAGGTTTTCTTTTTTATACTAAAACCTGAAATTCATCTGGAACTGATTTTGCTTATGATATGAGATAGAGGTTGAGATTTACTTTTTTTCCATATAGATATCTAATTCACCATTGCAATTATTGAAAAGGCCATCCTTTTCCTGCATTGTAATATTACCTTGCTCCTAAATTAAGTGATTGCATGTGAGATCTGTTTCTGGACTTACTGTTCTGTTCAATTTGCATAAGTTAAATTTAAATTTTCTGTTAGCTCAATTAAGTGGAGCAGTCAATTAAGCAGTTAGATACATGAGTTTGAAATCCAAAGCAGATATTTAGGATGAAGATATAAATTTGGGAATCATATGTTTATTGGTTTTCTGAAAAGCCAATCTCAATGGAACTGGATGAAATCACCCAGGGAATATAAGTGTAGATGAGTAGAGGGGAAGCCCAGGCACTGAATCCTAGGATCCTTCAACATTAAGAGGCTGGGAAAAAGAAAGAACTGGAAAAATGGAGAGGCAAGTGTACAACATGCACACTAGAAAAAGTTCTTCACGGAATAACTTCACGTCAACTGCGTCAGTGACAATGATAAGTCAACTCAGGACTGATAATTTACTGTTGGCTTTATCAATGTGGGGACTACTGTGACCTCGACCAGAGGAACTGACAAGACACTCCTTGAAAGGAGGAGTGATGGAGACAAATTCTCGAATCGTAGAGTTTAGGAAAGAATAGGAAAAGGAGTAATGAGAGACAGTGATTTTGCTGCAAATACTGTCAGTAGTTTTGTTACAGATGTGGAGCAGAGTTGCCAACTCAGGTGCTGGGCTTGTCAAGGAGGGTTGTTGTTGTTATTGTTGTTAAATATGGAAGAAATAACAGCAAGATGGTGCAATGAAGGGGAAATTAACAATGCAGGAAAAATAATTTGCTATTACACCTCAGCACTGATTACTTTTGCAGGCTAGCATCTCTTCCCTTGCACCCTCTGGGTCTTGGAGACTGGTGCACAGGTCAGGGAAGTTGTTACAAACTGAATGTTTCTGTTCCCATTAAAGTCATAGATTGAAGCCCCAATCCCAGTGTGATGGTATGTGGAGGCCGGGCCTTTGGGAGGTAATTATTAACAGGTTTAGATGAGGCACTGTGAGTAGAACCCTTATGCTGAATTAGTGCCATTATAAGATGAAGAGACAGCAGAGTTTCCTCCCTCTGCCGTGTGAAGATGCAGCAAGAAGTCAGCCAGTGCCTGCAAGCCAGAAAGAGGGCCCTTGCCCTGAACCTGACCATCCTGGTGCCCTGATCTCAGACTTCTAGCCTTCAGAACTTTGAGAAAGGAATATCTGTTTTTTAAGTCACCTACTCCACAGTGTTCTATTATAGAAGCCTCAGCTAAAAAAAGAAGATTTTAGAGGATTATGGGGAACAGACTTAGCTAGGACATCAACGTTAAAGATGTTGCACAATGAGCAAGGCAGATATCCTGGGGTCCTGGCAAATGAAGGAGAGAGGAGCGCATAGTCCTGAAAGCAGGAAAGGCAAGTTTTACCCAGATCGCAAAGGTATCCAGGACCAGTCCTAATTCCATCTCCTCTAACTATCCAGGAAGGATTCCTCTAAAGTTCTGATGATATTAATGGAGACCCTCTTTCTTCTCTTTCCTTTCACAGCTGGTGTGGACCAGCATCCATCAGTTCACATACCAAGAAAATGTCCAGATGGATGTCCTGTGCTCTCTCATGGGTCCTCCTGGTCTCCGTCTGCAAATTCATTGCCAATTTGCCATCCTTCAAACAAAGAGTAGTGTGATTCTATGGAAAGATGATGAGCACCCAGGTCTGGTCCTGCCATAGTGACTAGGAGCAAGTCAGTGGGCCTCCCTCAGTTTCAGTATCCTTGGGTGAAAAATGCGCACCGCCTGTCAGATCTTTTTCTGTCTTCTGATTATATTTTCCTCACCTTCAGGATTTTTTTGTATTATAAATGAAACAGTTTATAATTGTGTAAATTTGTGGGTATAAAATAATGTTATGATTTATGAATACAATGTGGAATAATTAAATCAAGCCAGTGAACACATCCATCATCTCAAATGCAGTACCTAACAGTTTTTGTGATAATATTTTAAATGTACTGTCTTAGAAATTTTGAAATGTACAATACTCTGTTATTAACTGTATCTACCATGGTATGCAATATAATTCAAAACAAGAAAAAATATATATTCCTCCTGTCTGAGATTTTGTACCTTTTGACCATCATCTCCCCCTTCCCTTCCCTTCACCCGCTAGCCTCTGTATCCCCAGTCTTCCCTTCACCCCCATTCTACTCTCTGCTTCTATGAGGATTATAACCTCTATTGATTCCATTAACATTTATCTAACATATCCAATCAAGAATTACTACTTAACAGTTATGCACTTAGTGCTGTGCTATGTGTTGAGGTTACAAAAAGTGAAGTATAGGCTAGTGGGAGAAAGCCAATGAGAATGAAAAGAATCACAATCCAATGGAAATGACAGGTGAGGAAAGCACAGGGGTGTCTGGGGGTACATCAACTGAGGATGAGAAGCTGAAGAGCAATTTTGTTCTAAGAGTGAGTAGGATTGTTCTGAATCAGATTTTAACTTAGTAGCCTATTTCTTCATCTTTGCCTCAGATACCTACAACTCTAGCTCTTTATATATTGGGTCTCTGTTGATACTGAAACATTTCCAAACAAGTTTCCAAGCAACATAAACTATTGTTTCCCTCAGTAAGTGTGTAGTTTACGGTGCTTCCTCTCCAGGGTGCAGGGGTCAAGAATGAAAAACAAACAGCCTCTCAGTCTATGAGCTGATCACTCAAGCTGTATCCTTAAAAAATATTAATCAGACTTCTACACAAAACAGCTGCTTGGAGGACAAAAGGAAGGTTCAATTCTGCCATTTTGGAAAGATAAGTCACACAGCAAGGTCAAAGCATGTGGTACAATGTTGGATAAACAAGTAAGAAACTCCAATCTTGAAACCTACAGGTAGTAAGTAGTCTATGTTTTACAAGAGACATTAACTTGAACTTTAGTGGAAACTGCCTTGCACTAGAATTAGAAGAATCAGGTTTGGTTATCAATTCATTCATACCTGCAATTTATCATTTAGTCAGTCAAGAAATATTTATGATTCCACAGAATGGAATTCTCCTCACCCTCTTCATTCTTCCCTCTCTAAACCCTGAATACTCAAGGGTCTCAAGTTCCTGCCTTTTCCATTAAACATCCTAATAGGAGTTCTTTATATTGTTATTATGGAAAATACCAAACATTACAAAAATAGAATGGTATAATGAACCTCCATGTACTCCTCACCCATTTTCAGCAATGATCAATTCTTGGACAATCTCATTTAATCTATACCCACCCACTTCCCCCAAACCACATCCTGGATTATTTTGTGGCAAATTCCAGACAGCAGATAATGTCATCAGAAAATATTTGAGTATGTATCTCCAAAAACACAGATTCTCTTTTAAAAAAAAATACAACTACAATGCTCTTTTCACGCCTAAAGAAATTAGCCATAATTCTTTAATTTATCAAATAGTCAGTCAGTATTCAGATGTCCCTGATCATCTCATTTTTTAAAATATGTGACTTTTTCTCCACCTTTCTCTTTTCCATTTAACATTATATCATGTAAATCTTTCCATAGTAGAATATAGAGATACTTAAAAGATCCTTTTCATATAAATAGAGCATTGAGGTTTTATCATGTGAAAAGAGAGCAAGGTATGGATTTATTTGTCTTTTTAAAAATAAATGTTACTGTGTACATTTGAGGTTTACAACATAGGATATATGTAGACAGCAAAATAAATCTGTGGTGAAGCAGTTTAACATATCTATCATCTCACATAGTTACTTTGTTGTGACAAGAGCAGGTAAAATCTACTTATTTTCTACAACAAAAATCCCTAATATTATATAATTTTATTAATTTTAGTACTCATGTTACATTAGATCTCTAAACTATTTTATATATATCTTATATATTTGCTGTTTTCATCCTTTGACCTACAGGTCCATATTTCCTCTCCCCCATCCCCCTGATGACCACTGTTTCATTCTCTGGGTATACAAGCTCTTTCTTAAAAATATGCCACATATAAGTGACATCATGCAATTATTTTTCTTTCTGTGTCTAGCTTAACTTAGCATAATGTCCTAATGGCAGGATCTCCTTCTTTTTTAAGACTGAATTGTATTCCATATATACACATTTCCTTTATCCATTTGTCTGTTTATAGATACTTAAGTTTTTTCCATATTGGCTATTGTGAGTAATGCTGTAATTCACATGAGTGTAGATCTATGTATGAGGTGGTGATTTCCTCTCTTTGGGGTATACTCAGAGGAGGGATTGCTGGGTCACATGTTAGTTCTATTTTTAATTTCTTTAGGAATCTCCATATTGTTTTCCATTGTTTTCCATAATGGCTGTACCAATCTACATTTCCACCAATGGTGTACTAGGGTACCCTTTGCTCCACACCCTCACCAACGTTGGTTATCTCTTGTCTTTTTGGTAATAGCCAAACTTACCAGTGTGAGGTGATATCTCATAGTGATTTTAATTTGCATTTCCTTGATGATTAGTGATGTTCAGTACTTTTTCATATAACTGTTAGTTATTTGTATGTCTTCTATTAAGAAATATCTATTCAAGTCCTTTTCTTATTTTTTAATCAAATTATTTTGTTTTCTGCTATTGAGTTGTAAGAATTTTTAAATAAATTTTAGATATTAACCTCTTATCAGTTATATAGTTTACAAATTTTTTTCCCAGTATGTAGGTTGCCTTTTCATTTTGTTGATTGTTTCCTTTGCTGTGCAAAGCTTTGTACTTTGATGTGGTCCTATTTATTTATTTTTGCTTTTGTAGCCTGAGCTTTTGGTGTGATATCCAAAAAAAGTCATTGCCAAGGCCAATGTTCAAGGAGCATTTTCCTTATGTTATCTTCCATGAGTTTTATGGTTTTAAGTTTTACATTTAGATCTTTTAACCATTTGAATTTTTTGTATGATGTAAAATCAAATTTCATTATTTTGTCAGTGGAAATCTAGTTTTCTCAGCATCATTTATTTAAGAGACTATTCTTTTTTCATTGTGTCCTCTTGATGCCCTTGTTAAAAATTAGTTGGTTAGGATTTATTTCTAGGCACTCTGATTTGTTCCATTGGTCTATGTTTCTGTTTTTATGCCAGTATCATACTGTTTTGATTACTGTAGCTTTGTACTATAATTTTAAATTTCGACATGTGATGCCTCCAACTTTGTTTATCTTTCTCGGTTTTGCTTTAGCTATTTGCAGTTTGTTTTTGTTTTTGTTTTTGTTTTTTGCATGGTTCTATACAAATTTTAGGATTCTTTTTCTAGTTCTGTGAAGAACACCATTGAAATTTTCATAGGAATTGTGTTAAGTCTGTGTATTACTTTGGGAAGCATGGACATTATAAACGATCCACTCAGAAGAATCTGAGATACCCAAACACTTCCTGTAGTAAGGACTAAGGAGCCATCTCATCTGGGGGCCATCAGTGATGGACTTCCTACCTCAACCTAGATGAGAAGGACAAAGAGGCAGTAAAAGGAAAGAGGCAGGAGACCAAGGAAAGAAGCAGCTCACAGTACCCATGGGGAGCTAAAAGTTGGCCATCTCGGAAGGGAAAAGGAATATTCTCCATCCTCTTGCTGCCATTTTGTATTTGTGATTATCTGGTAACAATTGGTTTCTTTTCTGCTGTTGAAGGACACATGCAAGCCCTTCTAGGTATTGTTGGGCATGGTGAGTGGCTGACATTTATTTAGGAGTCTCTGGAACTGGCTAACTGTGGCCTTGGAAAAATCACTTTATTTCTCCAGGTTTCAGCTGTGCCACCTGTAAATAGGGACTGGGTTATATAATTTCAAATGTTCCTTCAAATTCTAGCACTGTTTAGATGTTTTCAATCAAAAATTGAAATCACAGAATTATTTGGGAGCAATCAAAGTAAAATACTAGGATTTTGCTCTTTGCAGGGGGAATTTTATCTTTGAAATGAAGAGCAACAGATTTAAATTAAACATAAAGCAAACTGCCAACAATAATCAAGTTGTTATCATGTTGGAATATGTTAAAAGCACCACCTGCATTATTTGCTTTTAAGTATGCTTTTGCATTTCCTATCCTGGACCTCTTAGAAGAACTTTATACAGATCTTTTAACATATGTTTATTAGACTATGAGTGGCATTTGCACAACATCTAAAGACAACTGATAAACAGTTTATTGGTAGAGGAGATAATAAACTGTTCTGTAGCCAGTAGAACTGAAGTCGGTTTTGACTGAGAGAAGAAATTTCTGTTTGATTATGGAGTTGGGTTTTTTAATTACTAAACTATATATTGCTATAGCTTAATATATAAAAAAAAATTTGGAAAATATAGATCAGGAGAATAATCTCATGCGATCCTATTCACAATAACAAAGACATAGACAACCTAAATGCCCATCAATGATAGACTAGATAAGAAAATGTGGTGCATATGCACCATAGAATATTATGCAGCATGAAAAAGAACAAGATCATGTCCTTTGCAAGGACATGGATGGAGCTGGAGGCTGTTATCCTTAGCAAAGTAATGCATGAACAGAAAACCAAATACGGCATGTTCTCACCTATGAGTGGGAGCTAAATGATGAAAACACATGGACACATAGAGGAAAACAACATACACTGCGGCCTTTCAGAGGGTGGAGTGTGAGAGGAGGGAGAGGATCAGGAAAAATAACTAATGGGTACTACCCTTAATACCTGGGTCGTGAAATAATTTGTACAACAAACCTTCATGACACAAGTCTACCTGTGTAACAAACCTGCACTTGTACCACAGAACCTAAAAGTTAAAATAATAACAATCATCATCATCATCTCACATGATCATAACACCAGTAATGACCATTAATGACATTCTTATAGTTTTACTACATTTATATCTATAATCATTATAATGTAAAATTTTGAGTCATATCATGTATTGCTTTTCATATTTAGCAATCTTATGAATTCCTTTATTTACTTTCAAATAATCTTCCCAAGTACTGGGAGTGACTGCATAATTTTCCACTGTATGAAGATACGCCAATTGTTGGGCATTTCTCTATTTTTTGGCATTTAGTTTGTTTCCAATTTATGTATTTCGTTATTATAGCCAATACTGTTGTAATCATCCCAGTCACTGATTTATAGTGGATATACTGGAAATAAAATCCTAGAAATGAAATTATAATGTTTTAGGTCATACAAATTTTTATTTTGATCTGCATTAAGAAATTGCCCTCTGAACACTCTTGTCACGATCTTTTCCAACCAGCAGTACGTGACTGAGGCATCTCCCCACTCTCTAAGTACTCGTTGTTAGCTTTAACATAATTGAAATATATAAGGCAACACATTTTACTTACAATTTTAAATTTAAAAAAATCATTCCTGTTGCTTAGCTACTCCAAGTCACATTTTTATCAAATACATGAAGCTACTTCCCTTCTCTAGCTGTGAACTTGCTATACAGATGTTAATTACCCAACATCACCCTTTCAATCCTCTTAATGAAAGGTTTTCAGTATAATAATGTTTCTCTGCCAACCAAGTCACTGATTACTACATTCCAGCTCTTCATTTAGAACTGATGAATTTTAGATTTCCTGAAACTGTCTACCTTCTGTCTAGACTAAAATAGTAAAACTTACTCTTCCACGTGTTTAATCAAGATTTAGGCATCTTCAAGTCACATTCTGTTTTGTTTTTACAAATGTCCTCTATAATATTGTTTATGAAAAATAACTACTATATTTTTCCCTCACTCCTGGTCTCCTCTCTATCCTTGGAATCTACAACTTATCACCATGGAATATTCCATGTTCCACAATTGAGAGATCCTATTTCTCCCTTCCATGCTGGGGAAATGCCTTAAATCCTGATTTCTTTTATTTTAATGCCTTGAAAATGAAAAGCCACATGATGCTCCATTTGGTCTCTAACACTGAGTAGAAAATTCACTTCTGAAAGCTCTCTAAGTGGCCAACCTCACCCTGGGGACGTATAATTGCCCACTTGGACACAGAGCATGCAAGCACAGCCCTGGGAGGAAGACTTTAGTTCTGGCTTTAGTTCTGTGATCTCATTCACTTTTTATTGGGCCTCAGTTTCCTCATCTGCAAATGAGGAAATTGGGTTATATTTTCTATAAGACCTCTTTAATCTCCATGGTGTTCTCCAAAAGTTCCTTAATTACCAATAAAAAGTGAACTTATAGACATCAAGTGTTTTTCAACTTATCACCTGCAAATGGCTGGTGGGTTGCAGCAAAATTTAAAAGAATCCTCAAATCCATGTGCACATATATATTTTCTTGGTCCACAAATTAAAAGATACTATGATTATTACTATTATCATGCAGGAGATCTGCAAAATTAATTGGTATTTAAAAGGAGTACTCTTCTTACTAAAAAATTTAAATAAAAAATAAAATCATGATTCTAAAGAAAAATAAAAAACATCATTGCACAGCTCAAGAAAAATATAGGCCGGGAATGGTGGCTCACGCCTGTAATCCCAGCACTTTGGGGGGCCAAGGTGGGAGGATTGCTTGAGGCCAGGAGTTCAAGATCAGCCTGGCAACTTGGCAAGACTCCAACTCTACAAATAGAAGAATTAAAAAATTAGCCAGATGTGATGGTGCACACCATAGTCCCAGCTACTTGGGAGGCTGAGGTGGGAGGATCCTTGGAGCCCGGCAGCTTGAGGCTGCAGTGAGCTATGATCACACCACTTCACTCCAACCTGGGTGACAGAGGAAGACCCCATTTCTAAAAAAAAAAAAAAAAGAAAGAAAAAGAAAAGAAATACAAAAAATACAAAGCCCTCCTTTGGACTGCCCATAATATTGACTGCATTATCTATTCTGATACTTAATTATACACAACTGAGAGCTTTTCTCCCTGGGTGGCAAGCTCAATTGCCTTCAGGGCCAAACTGGTAACATGAATGAGTGAAGCACACTGGCTGTTATTCTTTCAAAATTGGCACATGCTTTATACTTAGAAGCAGGAATGATCTTCACTTTCACAACGAATTATGCCTTCTCCCGTCTTTGTCACACATTTAACACCCTAGGCATATCTTTTGTTATCCTCTCTTTTTTATGTAGTTATTCACAAGAGAAACAACATCCTTCAACCACTAGCAAACAAGGTACAAATATAATGATCAATGGTGACTACCACATGTTGGTCTTAGTGTCAGAAAAAAAGAGAGGTAGTGGTGGGAGCTACAGTGAGTAGACGGGACTCACCCTGTAGGGAGGGGAGACTCAGCCCCCAGTGACTCTGGCCCAGCTGGCATAAAAGCCTATTGCTATAACATTTTCTGCCTTTTTTTTTTTTAAGAAGAAGAAACTTCACATGTTTAGGTGGAAACTCCTGATATTTACCTGTCAGTTTTGGCTTATTTTCAATATTATGGAATCCAAATAAAATATGTTGTATGTCTTCGTTAATCCGTTTCAGAATGACCCTTGAGATTCCTTCAATGAGAAAAAATTATCTGATTGAGACAGGGGTCTCGTTTTTAGAATAAAAAATAGGGTGAATTGGGGCAGAGAAGGAAGAGTGTGAAGAAAAATAATTGATGAATATGTTGGTTAATTGGACTGTGGTGATCATTATGCTATGCATACATGTATCAAATCATGTTATACACCTTGAATATATACAATTTTTACTGGTCAGTTATATACCCCAATAAAGCTTGTTGAAAAAGAAAAAAGTTTTAAATTGTTAAAGAGTCCCAAGCATATCATGGTCATGAGCCAACTCACTCACTGAGGAAAACCTCTTTCTTCTCAATAATAATAGATCATAACAAGCACTAAGATATCCTAAGAACTAAATCCCAGATACTGGGCTAGGGCTTTATATGGTTAATTTTACTTCACCTCAAGGTCACACAGCTTGAGCCTGACCCAGGACTCAACCCTAGACTTCTATGCTACCTTCCCGTGAAGCCACCTGCCAGAAGACGGGAACAGAAAGGGGGGACTTACGGGTTTGCAGCAGCCCCAGTGAAGAGCTGTGGGCCTCGAATGCCCTTGAAGGTAGGTTCCCTTCTATATTAAAAGATCATTTGGTCAGTTCATTTTTAGAAGAGGACATTGCCCCCAGGTTTACATTTTTGTAGGCTTCAATGGAGCAAGTTAGTCCATATAAAAATAAAAAACAAATGAGCAATCATAACATAATCATACCTAAAGAATAGATTCCTCCACTCTAAGTCACTGTCTTCATCCAGACCAGGAGTGTAAAGCAAAAAAGAGAGGGCTGTGCTGGTTGCCTGAGAAGAGGAGCCTGTCAGCTGTGCTAATGAGTGGCTGTCTAGGGGCAGGCCATCAGTTCAGGAGTACAAGTGAGGAAGAAAGGCTCGTGACAGTGTTGCAGCAGAGACTGCCTCAGTGTTCACCTTCCCATTTCCTCTTTCTGGTCACACAAGAAAACTTCCCAGCATCCCTTGCTCTGTAAAGTTACACAGTTAAGGCTAGGATGATACTTCCCAATCTGGCCCCTAAAATCTCCTAGAAGACTCTCAGCTCATACTTTGATAGCTTTTCAGCAGAATGGGAAGTGAGGGACTCTAACACTGCAAAAGCCACATGATGAAGGAGTTTGGATTCCTGAGCTACCACTGGAAGGAGAGTTATTTCTTGGAGGGGAGCCATCCCACTAGAGATGCTGACCCAGACTGTGCTATCGTGTGAATGAGAAATAAAATTTGATATTAGCCACTAAGATTTGGCAGCTGTGTGTTAAAAGTAGCTAGCAAGCACATCCTAATAGAGTTCCCGGGAAAACTACAGCGGTTTCACCCATGCTTATGCAAAGATCCAGTTTGCAAAATCATTTCTGCTCTGCAAAGAGCTTACTATTAAGAAGGTCTCTTTGTGGAGGTGGCTCCACAAAGCATGCTGAAAATCCCTTATATGTATGAAGAGTCAAGTCATCTACTGAAATTCCAGACAAATCTTCCTGACCATATCCAAGAACACAGAGTACGTGCAAGTTTCCAGGATTCTGGTGATATCAATGAATGTGCTGTGGGCTCAAACTTTTTAGAGAGGAAAACTGAGCTGGATATATCATGTCATTAGATGAGAGATTTAGTCAGTGGCCAAAGCTGGATGAGTGTAAGTAAGAGCTGCATGAATGTTGCAGAAACTCTGGCAAAGAGGAAAATTTGTACATTCAGGATTTGTGTTGCAGATGCTACACAAACCCAAAAGGAACTAAAGGGCAAAAAGCATATGAGTCTCTTAACTAATTGCATAAAACTATTTGATCAAGGTAGTGCTTTAAAATTTTATGTGATCAGAATTGTTTTTGTTTTTGCAAAGAAAGATCAGGTAATTTCCAGTGATAATTCTAAAATGTATGGTTTTTGCTTTGCAAATCGATAGAGGAAGAAGCAATAATCCATTATACAAAAACTCTCTGGAAGTGGGAGAGAAAGTAAGACCAAACGGCAAGCAATTCTTTCCAAATGAGTTTTGGTTCAACTCCTCCGTGGAGACCTTGCTAGCAGTATTCTTGTCATGTGGTTCCTCAGTTATGTAACCAGAAGAGAGTATCTCCAAACTAGAATCAAGTTTGGTCTAGATGCTGTGGCTGCACCAGCTCACCTCTGCAAATTGAATTTAGAAAACTCCACACTGGAACAGATCTCTACCTTGCCATAGTTGAACAGGCGGTACACATCATTTGACTTCGTTATGTGAACTGCAGTTAGGAGGTGTTAAAAAAAGAAGTCCTCTTAAAAACAGGGAAGATGAAACTACATCACCTCTATACTCCTAGATGATTTGTTGGTGAGAAGAGTTAGGGACATTTCTAAGGGAAGTCAAGAAATAAATTGTTTTCTCTACTTCTCTTTGAAAATTTTATATTCAATTTATGCATCTTGATGTGGTCTACAATAGTGTGCTTAGCAAAGAACTTTTCTTCCTCAGCTATGGAACTTAAACTTATAAAAATGATAGTCTGCTCAGTGAGGGCAAATGATTAGCTGCCCACCTAACTCACCCATTAAAAAAAATGTTAATAAAAAATAGTAATATTAATACTAGCAAATTTGGAAAAGTGTATATGCAAAGGTTTAAGTATTGGTAATTCAATTTGCATATACATATGTATGCATACATGTATGTATGAATGTATGAATATATGTATGAACTCATGTATATGCATGAATATATATATGCTTTTAAGTCTGTTTGAAAACAGAAATATGTTTATGTATGTGTATGTGTGTGTGTGTGTATATATATATATATATATAATTTTGAGTTTAATTCTTTGAAAACATAGAAATATTCTTGATGAAAATGTGTACCACTGCCCATTATTGGCTATTTAACAAATAACCTAAATTAATAATGAAGCTAAACTAATAGCAATTTATAATGAAAAACAAGTACCAAATAAACAATAAGCACTAAAACAAGTATCAAATAAAAATAAACAGTTAAGTACTACCTTGATGGTAAACTTCTGTCCCCAAACTGCAGAACTGCAGCCATCTATGTGTTTGGATGGTAGTGAGACCTCAGCTACATTGCCAGGCATTACGGGGAGAATGGGCTTCTTAGTAAAATACCAAATTGGAGTCTATAATAAGCTTTAGTCATGTACTGACTTTATGAATACTAAAATTTAATGACCCTTAATAAGTCACGTAATTGTTTCCTATTAAATAGCTCTCAGTTCATCCACAAAAATTAATGTCTATGGAATGATGTGTCTCATTCACCGCATAAAGACCTGGTCCCTTTCTCAGCCCATTAGGGGTCTGCTCAAGGCTGACAGATGGGCTTGGGGAAGCACTTTCAGAATTGACCCTGCTGAGACCACAACCTTGACCTCTATCAACTAGGATCAAGTCTTTTAGGAAGGTAGGAGTCAAGGAGGGTCAGTCTTATTTACATTGAAGAAATAGATTAGAAGTTACAGCAGGAACATTATACTTGTAGCTCAGGAAGATTGTGTTTTCTTTTCATCCACAGTACTAAAATATAAGACCCCAAATATTTTTCCACTGCATATTTTTCTTTAGCGGTAATCAGGAAAACAGCTCAAGAAATAATAGCTGAGTTCAGGAGTTATACTGAAAAAGCCAGTCTTAGCTTTTCTAGACTTTAGTTTCTTCATCTGTAAAATGGCTAAATAATAATAGTTTCTACCTATAGGGCTCTTACAAAGATTAAATAGTGGAATCCAATGTTAGCAAACTATGGTCCATGGGCCAAACCTGGCCCATCTGTAAATAAAGTTCTATGAGAACGGAGTCATGGCCATTTGTTTACGCATTGTCTATGCTGTTTCACCCTGTAGCAGGAGAGTTGGGTAATTGTGAGAGAGACCACATGGGCCCATAAAGCCTGAAATATTTACTATCTGGCTTTTTACAAAAAAAAAACTCTCCCACCCCTGATACAATCCACATACATTATTTTGTACAAGTCCTAGTATGTAAACACTTAGCTATTGTTTTCTATTTAGAGTTTTGTATTTTGTGACTTGCGAAAATAAATGTGTGAATTGTAAGGCAATGTAAAGCTGAACAATTGACAATGAAAACTAGATTCTGGCATCAGGTTCTCAGAATATTTGATTTCAAGGAAAAGTTACCCAGACATATAAAATCATTAAGAACAGAGCTACTTTGACTGGAGCCATGGTGGGGGACCTGGAAAAATACTATATCAAACATACACAATTACGTAGGTGCTCCTTAAAACCTAAAGAAATTAATTGAAAACATAAAATCTAAAGCCTGAATGCCAGAGGGCTTTTTCTTTGTATTTCATGTAACTTTATACTCTCACCTATAAGCCACAAGAGCAAATAATGGCAATAGCATAAGGTAAGTAATTACTAATATCACACCTTTATACACTTATTATATAACCACAAAATTTTTTTCTTAAATAATATCATTTCTTGAATAAGGGAAGTAAACAGATGGATTCTCAAGTCACTCTGTTTTCATGAAGCTTTCCCCTTACCTGATATTTTATACTGCATGCATTTCCAAAAGGAATACTTTGCAGAAAAGAAATATAGCACTTGTTTGGCAACTCTTGAGAATTGACTCAGAAGGCAACCTTGACATCTCAGGCAAGATCTTTCTTCTTTACAGCAAGATGACGACATTTCTGATCCCAAGCCAAGGTCAGTGCTAGCAGGAGATGATGCAGAAAAAGGCTGGGCATACACAGGGGCAGAAAAACAGCCCCAGGCTAGGAGGACCTGGAAAATGTAACTGAAAAACTATTCTTCAAAGCCAGTTGTGAACAGCAGCAACCCCATCCAGGAAGACTACATGGTTACACTTGGCAGGCTGTGCGGAACAGATGAGGCAGTGTGACACAGTCAAGTCACCCACAAGAACGTGGCATTTTTGTGGTGTTTGAAACATTTCAGCTAGATAAGCCTAAATTGGCTTCCTTTATAGCAAAACTACCTGCCACTCATTATATTCATGCCAATATCAGGTTCCTCATGGGGCATGCTATGACATATTTACCCCCAGACCAACTCAGGATTTAAAAGGAAGATGAGATATTTATAGGCTAGGAATTCTCTAATGGACACGCTAATGAACAAATAAATGTGAAACCATCTCCTAAAGATCAAGGATACCAGAAAAAAAAAAAAAACTGATCCCTAGGTCAGTGTGATATGCCGACTTCCAAGATGGCTCCCAAGATTCCAAGCCCTGGAGTAGGCACGACTCCCAGTCATTCAAAGGAACACTAATCTACATGCTGTGTGAAGGGACTGTGCTGATGTAAGTAGGGTTCCAAAACAGTCGACCTTAAAATACGGAGATTATCAGGGTGACCATGGCCTAATCACAGAGCTCTTTGAAAGCAGAGTTTTCTCCAGCTGGGCAGAGGGACACAAGTCGGTGATGGGAAACAGAAGAGGATCTGATGTGTCACCACTGGGTTGAAGATGAAGGACGGTCACATAGCAAGAAATGCAGTTAGTCTCTAAAAGTCGATGGTGTCACTGGTTTATCACTCAAAGAAACAGGGGCTTCAGTCCTACAGCTGCAAAGAACTGAGCTTAGAAACGGACTTCTCCCCACAGTCTCTAGAGAACTCAGCCCGTTAATACCTTCATTTCAGTCTGTGCTGCCCTAAGCCAAGAACCCAGTCATGCTGTGCCAGATTTCTGGCCTACGGAATTGTAAGCTAATAAACAGGTATTGTTCCAAACTTTCTAAGTTTGTGGTAGCTTATTATGCAGCAATAGAAAGCTATTACCTCAGCAAATTTCCTTTATCCCCACTTCCCTGTCTTACTCACCCATTAAAAAAACATGTTAATAAAAAAATAGTAACCACTCTGTTGTGCTTTGACATGTATCCTCGCATTTGGATATGTCCTTGGAGAAAAAAAAATAGATAGATAGATAGATAGATAGATAGATAGATAGATAGATAGAATGTTTTTGTTTGCTAATGTAGTTTATTTTATATCAATAGTATTGTGTCATAAATACTATGCTATTTATTGTCTTATAAAAAAACTCAAATATACCTTGTTACCATCTATCCATTTGCTGTGGGCATATCTAGTGGGTTCCTTCTAACTGCTACAAAATATTCCATAGTGTGTATTTGCTGTTTTTCTTTATGCATTTTACTAAGTTGACCTTCAGTTCCTTTACCAAAATCAGCACTGTGATCATTTCCTCATAATCCTATCTAAGAATTCCTCCAGGGCATATACCCAGGAATGGGATGGTTGGGTCACAGGACATATGACCACTTAATTTGGAATGCACTCTCAGACTTCTGTCTCAAATGGTCACACCAGGCTACTCCCCTGGCAGTGCAAGAGGTCCTGTTTTCTATATCTGCCAAGATTTGACATTACCAACTTCTGAGACTTTGTCAATCTCCCAGGTATAAAGTAACATCAAGTGCTTTTAATTTGTATTTTTCTGAATCACTGAGTTCGAGTATCACTTCATATATTTATTAAGCAATTCAGTTTCCCCTTTTGTAAACTGCCTTCTCATGTGCTTTTGTCAATTTTTCTACCAGATCTCCCATCTTCTTATTTATTTCCAGAATGTCCTCTATCTTTTAGACACCAAACTCTTCAGGTATCTCTTACTGTTATATCTTTCTGTTAACTCAGAAATGCTTAATTTTATATAATCATATTTCTCAATGTTTTGCTATATAATCTGTGTTTTATTTGGATCTTTATTAAGAAATATGTTCCTACCACTAAGTCACTAAAATATTATCCTACATTTTCTTTTGTTGGCTTCATACTTTTACCTTTCACGTTTCAGTCCTTAATCCACCTAGGGTCCATATTTGTATGAGACCCTCTAGTTTTATTTTTCTCCATATTATAAGCCAGTTTTTCTAACACCATCTGCTCAACAATCCACCCTGGGCAGAGGTAAGATGAGAAATATGTATGTGGTTGGGAAGCCAACATGATCCCACTGTACTGTGGCAGAGGGTATGATGCAGTGACTCAGGATCTTGTTGGTGGAGAAGGGGTAAAGGGAGGGCTCTGTCGCAGTAGATTCTGCCCTGAACATCCTCTTTCGCCCCTGTGTTGCAGTTACTAATCCTTGATTTATCTTTTCCTATTGAAAACTGGAATCCCTCTCCACTTGGGATGGGGAGTGGGAGGGAAAGGGTCATGCTGCTATTTGCCTTGTCAGCCCTGGTAACACTAGCAACGGGCATACACACCATACTGCTCTGAATGAGATCCACTCCAGCACATGGCCATCTTAAAACCTCTTTCATCACGTAATTGATACAGTTCAATGAGACAAACAGATGGCACCTTTCGTCAGGCTACTTGCATGCCAATAATGGGAAAAGAACCCATTCAGAGACTCATACTCATGAGCTGTGCTCCTCCCCAAGCTGGCGTTCCTGAATGTAACATGAAGGAAGATGCTCAGGCTGCTGCAGGACTTGGCCTTAGAGACGGGGCATCCTAACCTGCCTTACTAGCAAAGCTTCATCCAGATATGACCTTTCACTGCATACTCTATTTTTTCCCTGTGTGCTTGGATTTAATTCTTAATAGTACTTTGAGTTGCTGTTTTATTATTGCATACTTTAAACTCACTACTCTTCTTTCCATCCTTCTTCTCTTCTCACCAGCCAGGACCTTCCCTCCCCACCTTTCCAAAGCAGCACACAGCTAGCTGCCTGCTATGACTTCAACTTCAAATTCAGCCTGGAAGTTAAGAAATGATTTCCCAAGAACTGCATAGAAGGAGGATCTGACCATTGGCCTTTGTGCTGCCCCCTGCCTTCTTCAACCCCCTTGGGTCTTAATAATTAATTCCTCCTGAGGCATGTTGTTCCATGGGCCTCTCTGTTCCCCTGAACTCATTCCCTGGAAACAATTCCCCTACACATCTAAGAGCAGATTTCACTTAACTAAGCAGCTGTGGTCGGAAAGTACAAATTCTCCTTTAAAAATGGCCCTTTCCAGTCCCACTCTAATGTTGACCAGCTTTCCTCAATTCCCAAAGAATTCACCCGCTTCATACTGAGAAATCCATCTGGCCCCAGTCCTTTTCCATCTGAGGCAATCAGCCTCAGTGACATTCAGAGAGCCCTTTCCATAACTCTCTTGGTCTAGCCCATACCTACCTCTAACTCAATAAAATGTTAGAACCCTGAGCCCTAACATATGAAGAAAGGGAGGCCAGACAGCCCAAACTGGAAGACAGGTCAGTGGCTTTGATATAAATCAAAGCTAGGATCTCAAATTTGAAATGAGGTAGACATTTCTAGCTATGCTGTGGGCATGAGGCTCTGATGGATTAAAGAAGAAATGATGGGACAACTTTGGAGAAATAAAGGATCCATGAAGTTGGAAGACCTCAGTTAAATGGTCCAATAAGGGCTCTGGAGAGCCATTGTACCACCCAGATCCCTTCAGAAGATAGAGGGAAGAGGTGATATGAGGAGAAAAATGGCAAAAAGGAGGTAAGACAACTGGAATATAAACTTGATCGATATCACAATTTGATATAAGACTAGCTCAATTACATGATTAGAAGTATATTCACAAGAGAAGATAGTCAGAAAATGGTCAGCCTACCAAGAAAGCAGCCAATTGATATAAAACACAGAAGTGTCTGGGGACAAGAGGTCCTAACAACTTTAAAGCCACTTGCTAAAGAATTCTGTCTTGGCCGGGCATAGTGACTCACGCCTGTAATCCCAGCACTTTGGGAGTCCAAGGCTGGAGGATCGCTTGAGCTCAGGAGTTCAAGAGCAGCCTGGGCAACTTATCAAGACACTGTCTCTATTAAAAATTGAAAAAAAATTAGCCAAGAGTGGTGGCGCACACCTGTAGTCTCAGCTACTTGGGAGGCTGAGATGGGAGTGCTGTTTGAGCCCAGGAGGTCAAGGCTGCAGTGAGCCATGATTACACCACCGCACTCCAGCCTAGGCAACACAGCAAAACTCTGTCTGTATATATATAGCTTTCATTTATATTGCTTCCACTTATATCAGTATATGTATATACTGATATAGACAGTGTCTTACTGGATATATACATAAGTTAAACATATATATTAATTTTAAAAAGAATTCTTTCTTATTTTCAGTTTCTGCAAAAGAAGCCCATACTAAAACAGTAGCATGATTTGATGCTTTTGGTTCCTGATTTAATTCCATTTTCAAAATGATCTCCTTCATGGCTATGCTACAAACAGACTCTTAATTTATGGAGAACACACACAAAAACACACACACATAGCTCCATATGATACACCAGAAGAATGGTTAAAACAATTGAAATAACAATAGGCAAAAACAATAGAGAATATTTACTATGTAAGGCATATTTACTATGACATTCTTTTAAGCATGCTACAGATATTAACTCATTGAAGCCACATCCTATGAACTGCTACAATTTATATCCCTTATTAAAGATGAGGTCAGTGAGGCATATAGAGATTGAATATCTTGTCCGAGATTATACAATGGAAAGATGACAGAACTAGAATTCCAGTCCATGCATTCTGCTTCCAGACTCCACCACTAAAACCACTCTACTATACTGTCTCTTAAAGGATGGTGAGTTACCTGCCTAGCAAAAATAAACAATGATCTTAAGTGTTGCTATCCTGTGAAAGTTTCTGCACAAATTAGCCCAAATAGTAGTCTGGCTTCTGAAGGCAAATATTTTGCTTGACTTACTGCATTTTGAGAACTAATAGCAGGTGCGTTGTTGGTTCCAATTGAAGAGTCCTGCTTCCATCTTCCAGCTGGTCCTCCTTCTAGATGATTCATTACTCCCCAAATCACATGATTGTAACAAGCTTAATCCACATTCACTGTGCTGCTTAATTACCAATAGAATAATAGCTGAAATTAAGCAGACTGCTTAATCACCTTCTTTTTATTCTGGCTGCTTTTTTATGATTATTATCCCTCCTGCCTTCACAGGTAACAAAATATATTGCCATGATAAATGACCAGCTCTCCAAGATGAAAGCTCCAGGTGGCAGAGACAGTCATGAAAGCCCTGCTCTATGGCCAAGGCCACTGCAGAAGCTAGAAGTGGGGAGGTCCTCTCAAGGGCTCCTGACGCCTAGAAAGCATTCTGCCAGGAATGACAAAACAAACAGTTACAATTAGGAGACAGGATTCACAGGGTCCCTGCAAGGTAGCTGGTACCAAGCACAGCCCCTTCTCTTCTGAAGAATGCAGTGATTTCTGCAGCTTTCAGGTTCACACTTCAAGTGATCACCAAGACTGTCGTTCATGAACCATTGCTGAAACTATCTGATAGATTCACACGAAAAGGTGTGAACAGTATCTGCAGTTTGATTTCCAAAGAAAAACCTGGGATTGTATGGGAGGATATATAAGTTGGTGATTGAAATAATTAGATAGGAAGGGGGTCTTTTATTCATTCCCAAGTTGTGCCCCTGACTCCTTGTGTGAGATTCATCGAAGTCCACAAGCTTACTATGCTTCAGTTTCCTCATTTGTACTATATGAACAGGTTCTACCTATTTGCTTTGCAATGAGAACAACCCAATAAATAACTGAACATTTTGTGAGGAAAAAAAAACCCTTTGGATATGGGCACAGTACATCTACTTAAAGTCACTATATGAAAACTGAAAATAATCATTGTAATTGGAATAGTCTCAAGCACAAAATTGAATTCCCTCTTCTTGTACTCAGATTTAAATCGAGTTCCATTCAACAAATGTGCAAGTAAATGTGTTAGACATTAAAGACTCAGCAAAACGTGTACAATTTCTACCATCTGGCAATGCGCATGCTCAGAGAGAGAATTTCCACCAGGCACTAGCGGGGTGGTGGTGTTTTCCCTTGATGCGGCTTGGTTTGGGGACAATAATGCAATGTTGCTTTATTTGAAAGGATGGTTACAAAGAGCTGGATTTCCCCTTCTTTAACTATAACCCATACTTTGCTTCCATTTATATCAGTATAAATATAAGGTCCATTCCCTCGGACTCTCACATATGCACTAAAGACAGCCGTGGGAGGCAGAAACCAGACTGAACAATTGGCCTGAAATCAAATGGCCTGAAATCAAAAAGTGAAGGGGAAAAAAGCCACTTGCTTATTCCTCTATCTTTAAATTTAACTTTTTAAATTCAGTCAATATCATCTCTCTTGTTCACATAGATTCCAGGGAAGCTTTTGTTTCTCTCTAGTCATTGATCTTCCAGAAGAACAATAGCTATAAATAAGTCACCATGAAATAAAAGCAAAACTTGTGAGTCACTGCTGCCATTTTTTCCTAAGAACACATGGGAATTAGTGTGAGATGATGATCATGAATAACTATGGTGATGATGTGAAGGCAGAGGGAAGAAATAAAATTTCTGTTCAAAGAAACCATGTTCCAGTAAGTTCCAAGTACACCTCCAACTGCATAACAGTATTTGCTTTTTTAGTTTGTATGTACCCATTGGCCTCATTGGACTTAAGCTCAAGGGACCAAGCTCTGACAAGCATTTCTGTATCTGTGACTGGGAAGCCACACAGCAAGGACACACGAGGTCATAATCATTGCAACATGAATTCTCACAGCTGCCTCTTCAGGGGAGCTCAGGGACTTTGTCATTTATATCAGCTCTCTTTTCTTTTCAGAGACAAAGAGTGGTTCACTTTCACCTTTCAAGGACCAGTCCTAAGTCTTTACATCTCTTCAAAAACCTCCCTAGAACAAGTTAGCTAAAATATCTCAAACTGTATAATTCACACATAAAAGGTACATTTGACTGTATCTGTTAGGAAGTTAAGTACCTTACAATGGAGAGTAGATTCAACCAAGGAAGAAAAAAAGTTTTCTCTACAATGCTCTACACCTGCAAACTCTCTCTCAAAAACCGTCCAAGCTTTTGTGAATGGTTAAACTGATGATGGCACAGCCATTCAATGAAATCTTCTGTAGCTAGAAAAATTAATTCACAAAAAAATTCATGACTCGGGAAATGATTACAATAAAATATTAAATAAAAAACAGGATTCAAAGCTAAATACATAAAATGATGTAAATTATTAACTACATGCATAGGAAAAAATGGGGCTACATTAGTTTGCTAGCACTGTCATAGGAAGGTACCACAGAGTGGCTTAATCAACAAAAATTTATTTTCTCACAGTTTTGGAGGCTGGAAATCCAAGATCAAAGTGTAGGCAAGGTTAGTTCCTTTGGAGGGCTTCTGAGGGAAGAATCTGTTCCAGCCCTGCTTGGTGGCTTTAGATGGCTGTCTTGTCCCTCTGTCTCAAATCATAATCCCTCTGTATGTTTCTATGTCCAAATTTTCTCTTGTTATAAGGACAGCGGTCATATTGGATTAAGGTCTGATTTTAAGTTAGTTACCCCTTTAAAGACCCTATCTTCATATATGGTTCTATTCTGAGGTACTGGAGGTTAGGACTTCAACATGAATTTTTGGGGGAATCACAATACAGTCCATAACAGGGGCCCAATATACAAGAGTGTTTTAGTGGTGGGATGTGGGGCAATTTTCATTTTCCTCTTTGGTAGTTTCATGAGTGTTTCAAATATTCTACAATAAGATGTATTATTTTCATATATAGAGAAAACAATGAAATTTATCTTTGAAACACGTTTTTAGCATTCTTGAGGGTTTCCATCAGAGCCACATTCTTAGCAATGAGTTAACTGCCAGGCATGTGTTAGGGAAAAACCCACTCCTCACTCAGGAACCCATGACCCTCTATGAACTCTTAGCTTGCATTCCGAAAGGCCAGGAGCCCTGCCCTTCTCTATGAATCCCCACTGGAGGAGTCAGAAGGACAAAGCCATCCTCCAAAGTCAGGTCAATCCCTCTTAACCACCATCCCATACACATACCTTTCACCCAAGTTCCCTGGGCAGGTATGAATTTAGGACAGATGTCCCTAGTTTCCTGGAGGATTAGGACACTGTGTTCTATGTCTACACACATGCTGCTGTTGGCCAAAAATTATTCTTTCAAATGCCTGCTTAAAATACATATTTAGGTCACAAGTAAAAGGTCTGAGGCCTTGCTGATAGTGCTTTTTGGACTGATTTTGATCCACCTAATATCCTTGAGAATGGTGGAGTCCCAATGGCCCTTGCAGGGAGAGGGAGCAGGAAAGCAGCAGGAAACTCACTTGACCGTGTGGCAACACCTGCCAAGTATTATCAATAGAATATAAACAATAGTACTTTCCATAACCCAGGAATGCGGCTAACCATTTTTCAAATACTATCTCTTTAAACTTCAGGACAACCCATGAAATTGAATCTGTTTTTAGAAATGAGGAAACAGAGAAGTTACTTGTCCAAGATGCACAGCTAATAAGTGGTCCAGCCAGGATTGGTACCCAGAGCCCCAGTTCATAACCTCCCAGGACCGTAAGACCAAAAGGCAGGGGGGCCATGTCTGTCTTACTGTATCCCCAGTGAGGTCCATACTAAGTATTTGTTGAGTAATGAAAGAACAAGACCAAATTAGCTTTTTACTGAGAGTCCATAGCACCAGGTAAAGACTTGTTAAGCATTATCCCTAATCTTTGCACTAACTTTGTAAAATTAATAGTATTGTCTTACTCCATCCAGGCTGCTATAGGAAAATGCTATCAACTTGGTAGCTTATAAATAACAGAAATTTATTTCTCACAGTTCTGGAGGCTGGCAAGTCCAAGATCAAAGTGCCTATAGATTCAGTATCTGGCGAAGGCCTGTCTCCTAGTTCATAGGTGGTACATTCTTGCTGTGTCCTCACATGATGGAAGAACTAACTAGCTCGCTGTGGCCTCTTTTATAAAGGCACTAATCCCATTCAGGAGAGTTCCCCTTCATGACCTAATCACCTCCCAATGGCCCTACCTCCTAATACCATTACCTTGGGGGTAAGGATTTTAACATATCAATTTTGGAGAGACACAAACATACAGACCGTAGCAATTATTGTCCCCATTTTAGAGTTGAGATAACTGAGGTTTAAAGAAATGAAATATATGCAAGGTTCTCAGGACTGGAAAATACAGAGCAGTATAAGATTTTCTGCCCTCACAGAATTCATGATCAAACTGAGGATAATATCCATCTCTCTCTCTCTCTCTCTCTCTCTCTCTCTGTGTCTATCTGGGCAGTTTATGCTAAGACCCAAATAAGGGAAATAGGCAACATATGCTCCAGAAGCTCAGCAAATGTATGGATGTTACTGGGTTTGTTTTTGTTTTCATGAAGCCCACATCCTCAGCAGGTTAAGTTATCACAAAGCATTCCCTCAAGTGAAAAAGCCCAATGCGTGTGAGCACAGAATCTGAAAATCACACGGCCATGCCCACTGTGGTTGGCTGGGTGGAGGGAGAAGCAGGGATGCAGGATGTTCACCAGCCACAAAAGACTTCCTCAGCCTGAAGGAGGGGGCCGGGCCAATTTGGAATGACTTGAAAGGTCCCAGGCAGCCCCGGACCTGAAGGCTCATCACGCTGGACCAGCCTTCTCCAAACACCCTCCTCTGACATGCAAATGCCAGCTAGACAGGGGTGGCACATTACATTTCTGGGAGAGGGTAAAGATCAGCTGCAAAACCTGGAAGGCTGGCTGGGAATGAATTCATTCAACAAATGTTTATTTATTTAACTAAATATTAAGGACATAACAGAAGAACAAGGGTGGACAGGACAAGAACTCTGCTCTGGGGGCACTTCCATTACAGCAGGGGAGGCAGACAACGGGACCAAGGCAACAAAAAAGCACAAAGTCCATTCTGTAGAAGTGCTGGGTGGGAAGGAAATAGTAAAAAGCCAAGAAAAAGAAAGTAAGGCAGAGACTGACCCAGAGAACCCAGCAGCTCTCGGAGGAGGTGGCAGGGAAGCTGAGAACTGAGGGAGAAGAACCTGGGTGGAGGTAACAAATGTCCGCGCCACAGACAGCAGCAGGTACACAGACCAGGGCTGGGAAAGAGCACGGAGCATCTAGGCCAAGGTGGCCAGAGCCTAGAGGGCTGGTGGTAGAATGGGAAGGTCAGAGGCTGCAGAGAGAGGTCATCTGGCCTCCGGGAGAGTCTGGCTTTAAAATTTTTTTTTTTTCCTTTACAGGCAGGGTCTCACTATGTTGCCCAGGCTGGTCCTGAACTCCTAGGCCCAAGCAATCTTCCTGCCTGGGCCTTCCAGATTGCTGGGATTACAGGCTTGGACCACCATGCCCAGCCCTGGCTTTTAACCAGAGAACAATGGGAAAACCCTGGGGGACTTAGCACACCAGACAAGCCCCACTGTGTGCTTTAAAAAAGTCCCTCTGGCTGTCCTGTGTAGACAAACTCTTAGGGAGGAATGAGACCAGGTCAGAGATCGGGGCTGGGCCCGAGTAGGGGAGTGGACAGACAGGACTTGAAATGTATTATTTTTGTCATTACTTTTAATGGCAAAAACTGAAATTACTTATGCACCAACATAATACTTTGGAGACAGAATCGACCAGGCAATGGAAGGACTGAGTGGCAATGGTGGAAAGTGGAGATGGGTCGGTTACTAGGCCAGCCTCAGTTGAGTTGCTGCTTTTAATTACCTCTTCCAAAGATGTACTGGAGAAAGTCCTCATAAGCACTTTGCTTGCCACACCCACAGAAATAAACAAATTCCTTTGACAATCTACCACTTGGTTCCACCAAGAAATTCTTGAAAATCCTTCATTTCTTGCAGGAATCTGACCCCACAGGGCAGGGCATGTCTTTGTTTCCAGCCGAATGGGATTTCTGGGTTTAAGAGCACTTCCCACTCCCTTCCTAGCATCTGCATGGTTCTTTTGGTTGGTCCTTCTTGAAGTGCATGATGATTTTGTAAAAGAAAGCTTAAGACGATATGTGGAATATGACAGTAACAAAACCAAGGAGACGGGTCCATGACAGTGACTACCTGGATCCAATCACTGAGTTACTTAGTAAACACTTCTTACACCAGAACACTGGGGATAATTAGTTTTTAAAGAAGCCACATTTGTAACTTTTAACCAGAAAACAGATTTTCTGTTGAGCAAGCCTGCCTTTCTGAAAACGTACTGTCAAAAAATTAGAAGTAGACAACAGAGGGTACAATATTGAAACTATAATTTACTAAGCCCAGTAAAACATCACAATTAAATCTGTATTTGTGGTTCCGCTTAACAGCTCTCATATTTTTTTTTTAGTGAGAACTGTCATGAAGAATAGCACTGTGTTTTAATTACTCCCCACAACATCCCCACAGAAAGGATTATAGAGAAGCTCCCCTGTGCCTCATGTGGACTCACACAGGTGTGGTGTATAGCTTCCAGGTTGAGCAATGACTATGCACATTTAAAGACTATGAAGCAATGGTTAACACTTAAGAGCTGAAAGGACTAAAGACATTCAATAACAAGAACCACATCAGTTATATAGTTTGTTAGATTTCTAATGGCAGATTCAATGGTGTCAAAGGATTAAAAAAGGAAAATTAAAACATTGGAAATGATAGTGTTAGAAAAAGAGGAATAAATGCAGACAAAAAGAATCGTAGGCCACAAAGGTATTCAAGAAGCAGAACTAGGCCAGGCACGGTGGCTCACACCTGTAATCCCAGCACTTTGGGAAGCCGAAGAAGGCAGATCACTTGAGGTCAGGAGTTCAAGACCAGCCTGGCCAACATAGTGTAACCCCATCTCTACTAAAAATACAAAAATTAGCCGGGTGTGATGGTGCATGCCTGTAGTCCCAGCTATGTGGAGGCTGAGGTAGGAGAATTGCTTGAACCTGAAAGGCAGAGGTTGCAGTGAGCCGCGATCGTGCCACTGCGCTCCAGCCTGGGTGACAAAGTGAGACTCTGTCACAGACGAAAAAAAGAAAGAAGCAGAAGTAACAGGGAAGTGGAGAGAGGGAGAAGAAAGGAAAAGAGGAAAGATGGAGCAGAGAAGAGGACCTGGGGAGGGATGGTGAAGGGACTGAAGTGAGTAGGAAGAAAAAAGGGAAGAGGAAGAGCTTACCACAGAATAAGGAAGGTCATTTCCAAAGAGAAAGTGTACCTGTAGGGCAGATAATGGACTAAAACTCTTAGAAACAATAACATGGTTTTATAGTCACTGCCCCTTCTGCTGGATAAAAAACGACTGGATTCAAACTCCCAATTCTGGCATTAACCTGAGTTGCTATGTCAACTGTGTGTCCAACTTCCTTTGATCGCAGTTCCCTCCTCTAAAACGTGAAGATCCTAAAACAGGTCTTTTCAAACTTGATCTTTCTGTGATTTAAAAAAGAGGCAGAAGAGCGTTGAGATCAAGATCACAGGAGCTGAGGGTAGGCTCCTTTAATCTTCTCTCCATATGTGACTTTTAGAAAGGCACTTAACATGTTTGTGCCTCAGTATCATTGTCTACAAATAGGAGATGATAAGAATATCTATGTTATAAGATTCTAGTAAGCTTTGGCAATATAAGCTGTGTGTGCTATTATTAGCAGAAATCTTTTATCCCACATTTCAAGTGTCTTTTATAGGCTAATCAATATGAGGGACTGTAGGTTTAACCGTATTTTAGACCTGAATTTTGGTGTATGCTGTTGTCAGTCATTTTATTGTCACGCTAATTGGTGTGTGTCCTTTCCACATCTGTGCATTACTAAGTCACACTGAGGCACATGCTTTTCCTTCTTTACAGGATCCCAGGTCAATTTTCTTTCCTAGTTGAACATATGGTGGCTCCAACTCTGGAAGGGAACCAGAGAATGAGGTCTGCGCTCCATGCTGAGGGGAGCCGACTGAAGACAGAGGGTCCTTTCTTGGTTTCCACCAACATCAAGCTTCTTGCCTCCTAGGTTTGACTGTCCACTTTAAAACTCCTCCCACAACACAGTGTTCTCCACCCTTATCCCCACCACCGTGCCCTGCCCACTCAAAAAGGTTGTATCGCGTTCTTCACTGAAACGCAAGCAATACAAACATTAGCCCTGCTTCTCCGCATTTGTCCGTGCTATCATTTTTGTTCACTATAAACAAATACAGTAGTTTGCTTGGTAACTTCATGAAACGGGAAGAAGACAGTTCTTCTGTGTTTTACTAGGGCTGAATCAAGTGACTAGCTAGGAAGAAAAAGACACTACAAAAAGAAGACGGTTTGGGCATTAAATAATTCAAATTTATTCCTCTAAATGTATTTTGATGAAAAGATAAATCTTTCTAAGCAAACTCACTAATTCCCCATTCACTGACTTTCCTTGACAAAGCCTAAGGATCTCCACTTGCAGAAAGACACCAAATCTCCATGAAGGAAGAAGTGCCCCAGAGGCAAGTTTACTTACACCCATTTTCTCCAAAGCTTTACAAAAGCAGGGTGATCTCTGGCCAGGATGTGAAATATCAGCATAGCCTACTTTATTCTTTTACATCTTCATCTTCCTCTTTGTAAGATCTCAGGTAAAGATATACAATGCTTGAGCTCTAGGGTCTCACTGTATGTATTCAAATTCTTTTCTCCTTACTACTTCTGTTTAGGAAGGGTTTCCTAACACTATCTCCTTGCTTCAGTTTCTCCATCTCACCCTTTAATTAACCATGGCATGTTGGTGAAGACCTCAGGATGAAGAACCTGGCAGCCTGGGTTAACTCACAGCTTGGCCACAGATGTGCCACCCTGAGCAACTCACCTAAGTTCCCTGTGGCCTGTTTCCTCTTCTCAACTGTGGAGATGATAATGGTACCACCTCATAGATTAGTTGTGAAGGTTATGTGAAATAAAGAAGTAAGCACCTCTGACAGTGCCTGGCACACAGTCAGGTGTTGAAACTGGTTGTAGCCATGGGAAGCTGTACTAACAGTATTCAGCTCTATGCCCAAGGCCCCAGGAATGCAGCAGCCTTACTTACTGCAGCCCTTCTGGCATATGAGACCCTGGATCCCCAGGGCCACCCTGCAGGGATAGGAGGAATCCTCGGCCTGCAGGTGCAGCCCTTGTTTGGTCACTGATCAGCCTCTGACACCTTTGGTTTAGTGCAGTGCTAATCCAAAGGCAGCCTCAGATGCAGTACTAAGCCAAATCAGCCTCAGTTTAGTGCAGTGCTAAACCAAATCAAACTCAGATGCTTTAGGTTTAGTGCAGTGCTCAAATCAACTGAAGCTAAGCATTCCAGTCCCGCTGAACTGAGCTGCTCCCACCCTTAGCTCTGCCATGTCCCTCCAGTCTGTGTGGCACATATGGCCAATTGAGCTGCTCCCACCCTTAGCTCTGTCTTGTCCCCCCAGTCTGTGTGGCACACATGACCACACAGTCTCCTGGCTGGATTCTCTCCCTGAACCCCAGACTGTTCAATCAGGCTTCAATAGCCACAGCCCTTACTAGTACTGCTAGGGTTTGGTGACTCCAGGCCCTGCTGCAGCTCCCTCCACCTCCTGCCCCACAACCTCACAGTTGTCTGCAGCTACTCCCTCCTTCCTTTTCATCCTTTTTGTAGCATAAAGGGCCTGTACTTCCATCTAAGGCAAAGTCTTCTCACTGTGCTGTCAGCTTTGGACCTCTTACTTCCTCTGCCACTTCATTTCACCAACCATCCTGTCTCTGGTTAACCTCTGGTTCTCCTGTGGCTTTGCTCATTTCTCTTTCAACTTCCAAAAGAAAAACTCAAACTCACACTTTTTGTTCTCCTCATGCTCTGACCTGTATTTTTCTTTCTTTCAAATAGGGTGGCCTACATTTGGAGCATAACCCATTTTTGCCTAGTGTTCCATTATTGGAATGCTAAGCTTGTAGGAGTTATTTTTATCCTACTGCTCAAGGTCGTCGCCAAGGTCTGATTTTTCACACACAAAAACTTGCAACCTCTGGCATAAATGGGTTAATTTCCTACTATTCAGTCTTGCATGTAAGTGCATTATGGTTTCTGCTCTCTCCCCATCAATGGGACTGCTATGCTAGGGTTCCTGACAACGCAATGCAAGAAGGAGCATTTGTGCTGAGTCCTAGATGCTACCAAGCAGTCCAGAGTAGGGTAGGGTATTCTGGGAGAGAAGTAATTTTTTATGCAGACTCATGCTTCTCTCCTCATCAAAATCTTTCAGCCAGGGCCACATGGGTCAATAGGTTCTACCTCTCATTCTTACACAACCATGAAATTCCACACCCTGACACATCTTCATTTTCCTCTTACACCATCCCCTTTTTGACTTCATGATCTCCCTGAACACCTGGACACCCGGGTAAATGCCATTAGCACCACTCATGCAATCGGGTGAAGCCTCAGTTTTGTCTCCTTAACCATCTCTCAGCAATGCCTTCTCAATCTCCAGAACAAAAGGATTATGACTTTACTTTGTTAAGACATCTAGGTAGACAGGCCCAGCGAGTCATTGGAAACGTTCATCTGTAACTCATAAGAGAAGCAAAATAATTGGTAATCCTATGCAAAAAAGCAAAATGTGCTTTCTTCATGCCTTTTCTCCCCTGACTCTTTCATCTTTATTGTGGTCCTCATTCTTCCTTTCTAATTTTTACATAAATTTAAAAGGTGCTTTACTTAGGGAACTATTACAAATTATTCTGCTGAATCATGGTAAAATAGAATTTGCTTTGGGGATGGCTCCAGTATAAGAAAATCCTCAAGGTTGCAGCTTTCCACAAAGGGAGGGTTCACAAAAGTCTAAGTCCTCATAGCATAAAAGCTTTTAGAGCAAAAATAATTTAAAACAGGAGTTGTCTACACTGCAACTTTTAAACAGAGCTTTTCATGCTGAAATTAGCACAAAGCTTACTTAATATCCAGAGTGCTGCATAAGGAACTATTGAGGAAACGCAAGGGGCAGCTGGAAAAACAGAGGAAAGTGGGAGGCAGGCATGGTGCCAGGCACTGGGACAGTCTCTCCATCTAAGCCCTCTAACAGTGCAGAGACCCTGTAGGTGACCCATAAAAGGACAGAAGACCCCTGGACACCAGGACAGTAGGCATCATACCAAGAGCCAGGATAACAGTGGGGTGCGAACACACATTCAGAAAGCTAAGGCTAGAAAAACTACAAAAGACAGAGCCAGACTTGGTGAGCTCCAAGAAACACTAAGGTAGAGCTGGGAATCTGTAGCTAAGCCAGCATAGGGTCAACTTCATAGATTTGTTATGAAGGTTACAGGAAATGAAAAAGTAAGCAATGCTGAGTGGCTGGCACTCACAGTCTAAATCCCCATAGCATGAATTGGAAGGGCCCTTGGTGATCACCCAGACAAACATGGTGCCCTTCTCTCCCTACCTTTCCCTTCCTGAACAGTTCAGTTCTAAAGCCCTTAAGTAGGACAGATAAAAGTATGCATCTGTGTAGGGTTGGAATGAGAGGAGAGCTGAGGTGGACTAGCAGAAGGCCATAGCCTGAGCAGAGTGAAGACATCTGCATAGGCATGATACATGGTGCAGGGTAACAGAGCCCAGGACTGAGCAAGATGAGAAAAATGTCCGTGTTAATGAGAAAGAGGCACAGTGCTAGGTTCCTGAGCCTGAGCAAGCTAAGGTGGACAGCCCCAGAGGGAGCAGTCTGGAGAATCAATGCCCCGTGGCTTGACATGGAGGTCAGAGCCCAAGCAGGGTGAGGAGGGCATCCATATCAGGCAAGGGGGTAGTGAGTAGCCAGCACAGAATGTGGGAGCTGAATTTTGGTGAGAAGAGAGCAGGGAATGGTAGCAATAATGGAGATGGGATATTAATCAAAAACAGGGAGACTGATCAAATACTAAGGAGAATGAAAGCCAGTTACATCATTGTCAGAGAAGATATTTTCATAAATATAAAAGGGAGAAAACCAGAATGAATACTATGATGTTGGCCTGGAAGCGAAGGTACGGTAGTCACCTCTTATCCACAGAGGATATGTTCCAAGACCTCCACTGGATGCCTGAGACCATGAATAATAACAAATCCTATATGTGCTATGGTTTTGGATCTGATAAGCAGGAAGTGACTAACAGGCAAATGGCCTAGGCAGTGTGGATACTGGACAAAGGTATGAGCAGGATGGTGCAAGATCTCCTACTACACAGAATGGCACACAATTTAAAACTTATGAATTATGTATTTCTTGTTGCAGGAAGTCAGGGACCCCAAACGGAGGGACTGGCTGAAGCCATGGCAGAAGAATGTGGATTTCATGGGCATTTATTAGTTCCCCAAATTAATACTTTCATAATTTATTATGCCTGTCTTTACTGCAATCTCTGAACATAAATTGTGAAGATTTCATGGACACTTATCACTTCCCCAATCAATACCCTTGTGATTTCCTATGCCTGTCTTTAATCTCTTAATCCTGTCATCTCGTAAGCTGAGGAGGATGTATGTTGCCTCAGGACCCTGTGATGATTGCATTAACTGCACAAATTGCAGAGCATGTGTGTTTGAACAATATGAAATCTGGGCACCTTGAAAAAAGAACAGGATAACAGCAGTGTTCAGGGAACAAGAGAGATAACTTTAAACTCTGACTGCCGGTGAGCCAGGCGGAACAGAGCCATATTTCTCTTCTTTCAAAAGCAAACAGGAGAAATATTGCTAAATTCTTTTTCTCAGCAAGGAACATCCCTGAGAAAGAGAATGCGCCCCTGAGGGTAGGCCTCTAAAATGGCCCCTTTGGGTATGGCCATCTTCTATGGTGGAAACTGTAGGGATGAAATAAGTCCCAGTCTCCCATAGTGCTCCCAGGCTTATTAGGATGAGGAAATTCCCACCTAATAAATTTTGGTCAGACCGGTTGCTCTCAAACCCTGTCTCCTGATAAGATGTTATCAATGACAATGGTGCCCGAAACTTCATTAGCAATTTTAATTTTGCCCCGGTCCTGTGGTCCCATGATCTCGCCCTGCCTCCATTTGCCTTGTGATATTCTATTACCTTGTGAAGCACATGATCTCTGTGACCCACACCCTATTTGTAGACTCCCTCCCCTTTGAAAATCACTAATAAAAACTTGCTGGTTTTGCGGCTTGTGGGGCATCACGGAACCTACCGACATGTGATGCCTCCCCCGGATGCCCAGCTTTAAAATCTCTCTTTTGTACTCTGTCCCTTTATTTCTCAACCCGGCCGATGCTTATGGAAAATAGAAAAGAACCTACATGACTACTGGGGGCAGGTTCCCCGATAATTTCTGAAATTTTTTATTTAAAATTTTCAGACCACAGTCGGCCACAGGTAAACTGAAAACAGAAAGTGAAACCATAGATAAGGGAGGACTACAACATTAGTGTAAACCCATAATTTTCCATACATGTATATTAGTATATAGATACACTAATAACTAGAGCTGCAAGCAGGTATTGTGGCTTACATGCACATATGCCCATATACACACATATTCTCTACCTCTGTCCATTGAGAGGGTCTGGAACAGCAGCACCTGATAGCAATGAGCACATTTTGTGCCCAGATCTTTGCTTCAAAATATCACTCTTCAGAGGAGGGAGAAAAAGGTTCCCTGAAGAAATAACTATAGGACTGGGAAAGTACAAAATGACCCTAGAACATCTTATTGTCCCAGAAAGCAAGAGCATACTCAAAGAATGATGGGATGAGGCAAAAGACACAGAAGCCAGATTGAAGGGGCTCCCACTGACCAAACTGAGATAATTGAATATCATCATAAATACTGCCATTATGTATTAATAATAACAGATATAATAGTAATAACATATTAAATAATGATGTTACATTAGTACAGACATAAGCATAAGACCATACCAATATAAATACATGAATAAATAAATTGCATGTCTGATGAGGAACAGAGTGCTCACATAGTTTCAAAGCATTTTCCCTCAAATGTATATTAATTAGAAAGAGAAAAAAGACTAACTTTACAGGAGAGAAGCCTAGTAGACATCATCTTAATCAAGTAATCAAAATGAGTAGCAGAAATGAGACAAATCAGAAGTATGTGACACTTGATAGGATGCAATGAGAAAATACATGGTCACTTCCGGCTATTTCTGCCAAAGGTGCCATCTCTCCACTCATGGTGGAAAGCAAAGTGGGGCTGATATCACACAGTGAGAGAGGAAGCAGGAGAGAGAACGAAAGGAAAAGAGGGAGCAGAGGAGGTGCCAGCCTCTTGTCAACAACCAGGTGTTGCAGTGGGAACTCACTCCCACAAAATGGCAGCTCCCCATACATTAAGGATCCACTCCAATGACCCAAATACCTCCCACCAGGGCCCACCTCCAGCACTTGGGATCAAACTTCAGCATGAAATTTTGAGGGGACAAATATCCAAACTGTATCATGTGCACAATCTGAATCAAATCATAAGCCAACGTCAGACAAACCCAAACTGAGGGACATCCTACAAAATAACTGGTCTATAATCTTCAAAAGTGTCAAGGTCATAAGAGCTAAAGAAAGGCAGAGGAATTATTCTAGACTGAAGAAACTGGAGTTATCAGAAAACAGTGTCATGTACTGTTTCCAATACTTACTAGATGTCCCATATGTTTGATTAACTGAATTCTTCTGTCTCTAAAATAAACAGCCACCTAAACATCAGGCTTTCACAGTGATTCACTCCTTCCCTCTGTTCTCTAACCTGAAAATAAAACCAAACACTTGAAATGCTGTAATAGCCCCCAAAGCCAGTAATAGAATTGAGTTTCTAAAGTTCCTTTTTACTCATTTTTCTAGGTCAAGCTCAAATGCTCATCTTCTAGGAAGACGGCCTTGATTGCTGCTCCAGAGCTCATGTTTTCCTCCATCTTCTGAGAAGAGCAATGATAAGCAACACAAGACTCAACAGTTCAGGAGTGTATCATGTGAAGGCTTCAAAGGCAAAGTTAGAGATCTTGATGGGGGTGAGGGTAGCTACATCTTATATTTCTTTGTGTCCTCAATAGTAGTAAACACCTTGCAGAACACACAATGGGTACCTAACGAATACTTGTTAATAAATTCCTGAAACTTTGTTCTGATTAAGGAAATGTTTGTCCCCGGAGGTTTGAAGGCTTTTCAGCACAACTATGAAGCAATGAGTCCTAAAAAGATAAAATAAAATTGCACACCAATTAGCTCATTTGATGATCAAAGACCATATTCTTGGGCTTCCCCAAGATGTAGCAATATTGCTTCTCTCTTCTGATGTACTAGATTAACAACTGGAGCTTCTCTTGCCCACCAATACCTCCTTTCTGTCTTCTCTCCCACTTTGCTACTTATCCAGGCAAGACACCAGCTGCCTCTGATCAAGTTCCAGAAAGGGAAAACAAACAACTTCGTGGGGGTCTGTCCTACAGTAGAACTCCCAAGTTGGCCTGTGAGAAGAACTGAGAGTGAAGCCCTAATCCAGCACAAAGGCCCTGAGAGAAGGAAAATGTTAAAGGTGCTATGTTACAGATGTGTAGATCTATCTCAGAGATATGTGGATCTTCACGTATCCACAAGCATTTCTACCCATGTCCAGACTCAAGGGTAGCACCTTCATGCAAGCCTGGCCAGACCACATGTTCACTGCCCACAGGACACTAATAAAAAACAGGAAGTTTCGGCCAGGCACTGTGGCTCACGCCTGTAATCCCAGCACTTTGGGAGGCCTAGGCTGGTGGATCACCTGAGGTCGGGAGTTGGAGACCAGCCTGACCAACATGGAGAAACCCCGTCTCTACTAAAAAAACAAAAATTAGCCGGGCAAGGTGGCACATGCCTATAATCCCAGCTACTCGGGAGGCTGAGGCAGGAGAATCACCTGAACCCGGGAGATGGAGATTGTGGTGAGCCGAGATCGCGCCATTGCACTCCAGCCTGGGCAACAAGAGCAAAACTCTATCTCAAAAAAAAAAAAGAAAGAAAGAAAAAAAAGGAAGTTTCAAGGACTGGATCAAACCCAGAATGATTATACCCAAATGATCAAGTATAGGATTACTTAACTGCCAAGGAAGATAAAAGTAGCAGTAAGTTAGGCAAAGGGGGCCTTGGAGAGGCTCAGGTGAAGCTGTTACCAGAAAACAGGCCACCTTTAATGGGTGGGCACAGCACCTGTAAGGTGAATGAGGTAGAAGACTGTATTCACCAAAGATCTGTCACAGGAAGAAATTGTGTTTCCAAGGATATCCTCTCCCTTCCATAAAGAGTGAAACAATGGCCAGGTGCAGTGGCTTACACCTGTAATCCCAGCACTTAGGGAGGCCAAGGTGGTCAGATCACTTGAGGTCAAGAGTTTGAGACCAGCCTGGCCAATATGGTGAAACCCCATCTCTACTAAAAATACAAAAAGGAGCAGGGCATTGTGGCAGGTGCCTGTAATCCCAACCACTCAGGAGGCTGAGGCAGGAGAGTCGCTTGAATCCAGGAGGCGGAGGTTGCAATGAGCCAAGATCGCACCACTGCACTCCAGCCTGGGTAACAGAGTAAGACTCTGTTTAAAAAAAAAAAAAAGTGAAGCAAGGAAATGCCTGAGTACCTGGAGTTGCCCAGACCACCACCAGCCACCTTGGAGTGTCTCAGCTCAGCCAGAATCCAGAACCTGAAGTGCCAGTTGTCACCCAACAGGAAGTCAACATGAGGGCAGAGGATAGACAAACAAGCGACATAGTGAGGTGAAAGATGGAGGGATTTCAGAAGCTTCTGTGAATGTGAATGTGAAATGTTGAAGACAAGAACAAGATCTATACAAGATTTTAAGAAAACTGTCTGTAGGATGTTTCCTATGATACACATGTCTACATCATGAGAAATGTTTCTCTCCAATCCTGAGAAGTCAAATTTGTGTTTCCCTCATTGGTATTAGTTGCAAAACTGGACTTCAGAGAGTCCTATCTTTTATACAGGTTACTTGAGGTTGTTGGGATTGTTGAGATGTATTCTGAATCAGTTGCCCCAATGACAACTTGCCTAGGGAAAATGCAAGCAGGCTTCTATTCTTAGCAGAAGTATTTTGAGTGTCTATCACCTAGGGTGATTGCAAGTATTAGCACTGAAAAAGAGAAGTGGGAGGGCAGGCCTTGGAGAAGCAGAAGAGAAAATGTGAATCTAGAACGTAGATTATTAGCTTACAAACCTGGCTGCACCAGAATCACCTAAGTAGCTTTAATGTGTATATATTATACACACACATGATATATATATATCGTGGTGTTTTCATCTAAGCTGTTGAGAAGAGACATCTATATATATGTATTGCATAGCAATATATATATATGTATTGCATAGCAATATATATATATGTATTGCATAGCAATATATATATATGTATTGCATAGCAATATATATATATGTATTGCATAGCAATATATATATGTATTGCATAGCAATATATATATGTATTGCATAGCAATATATATATGTATTGCATAGCAATATATATATGTATTGCATAGCAATATATATATGTATTGCATAGCAATATATATATATGTATTGCATAGCAATATATATATGTATTGCATAGCAATATATATATGTATTGCATAGCAATATATATATGTATTGCATAGCAATATATATATGTATTGCATAGCAATATATATATATGTATTGCATAGCTATATATATGTATTGAATAGCGCTATATATATGTATTGAATAGCAATATATATATGTATTGCATAGCAATATATATATATGTATTGCACAGCAATATATATATGTATTGAATAGCAATATATATATGTATTGCACAGCAATATATATATATGTATTGCATAGCAATATATATATGTATTGCATAGCAATATATATATATGTATTGCATAGCAATATATATATATGTATTGCATAGCAATATATACATATATGTACTGCATAGCAATACATATGTGTATTGCATAGCAATACACATATGTATTGCATAGCAATATATATGTATTGCATAGCAATATATAGTATCTATATATGTATTGCACAGCAATATATGGTATCTATATATGTATTGCATAGCAATATATAGTATCTATATATGTATTGCATAGCAATATATAGTATCTATATATGTATTGCATAGCAATATATACATTGTATCAATATATATGTATTGCATAGCAATATATATTGTATCAATATATATATGTATTGCATAGCATATTATATATGTATTACCTACATATAGATAGCATGTGTATATAATATATACACACACTATACTAGTAGCAGAGGCAGGTGGGAGATGTATTTTATAGTGTAAATCCTTTTTATCTTTTAAGTTTTGTAGCATGTGAACTTATTACCTGCTAAACGTATTATAAAACGAAGGGGGAAAAGCCTAGATTCCTCTCACGGAGATTTTCACTCTCAATAGATGATCTGTTCTTACCATATCGTCTGTACAGAGCAGATCTCACCACCAGACTGTGACCCACCCTTACCACGAGCGTCTAATGGTCCGTCACCTGCACATCGGTTAAGCAGGTGAAAGGGGACTTCCTGACCCAGGATGTGGCATGGTCTCACATGCCTCTGGGTTTCAGACACAATGACTCAGCAGAAAGTTTCACAAAAAGAGAGGATTAATCAGACCTCAGGGGAAGCTGGCCACGGCGACCTCTGGGAGGCCTTCTTGTTCCCTTTCACAAGAGAGTTCTTGGTGTGGCACTATGCTAAGTGCTACACACCCATCCTCCCAACCAAAACAGGTGCTGTCAGCCCCTTTTACAATCTCAGAGCTAACATGCCCAAAGTTACAGAGCTAATGACTGAAATCTGCCTACCTGGAAAGCCCAACAGGCTCTCGACACCATAGGCCTCTCTCATTGCAGCAGCCTTTTCCTCACAGGAACAGTCTGATACCAGCATCATGCTGCCACCATCCATGTCCACAGCACAGAAAATGTTACAGTGTAAATATCTACTCTGGATGACCTGGGCTAGGATATTATTTCTCACCTTCATATTTTTTGACTGTTTAGTTTTTCAGATTCAAAGGTCAAAGAGAGAGTTTTTTCCCATCCTGCTGGTCCCTGGGCTGCAAGGATCCAGTTCACCCAAAGTAATAGATCTAAAGAGGCGAAGTCTTGTCTAAGGTCACCCACCAATAAAACAAACAACTATATACCTAATTTTGCACGTATCACCCCATGAGGTGATATGCTTTGGTCAGAGTTCCTGAGTTCTATAAGATCTTAGGAATTAGCCTTCATTTCCCAGAAAAAGAAGCTGGAATCTTGAGTGTTAAGAAACTTCTCTTAGAGCTTCTGGCTAGATGGGAGCATTCAGGCATAAACTTCAGGTCTCCCAACTCCAAGTCCAGTGCTTGCGCATGACAGAGTACTCTTCTGAAGTCTTAAGCCTAAATCACAGTGGACTAAGCTAGCAATAAAAATAAAAGGAGGCCAGACACAGTGGCTCATGCCTGTAATCCCAGCACTTTGGGAGGCCGAGGCAGGCAGATCACGAGGTCAGGAGATCGAGATCATTCTGGCTAACGTGGTGAAACCCCATCTCTACTAAAAATACAAAAAATTAACCAGGCATGGTGGTGGGCACCTGTAGTCCCAGCTACTCGGGAGGCTGAGGCAGGAGAATGGCATGGACCCAGGATGCAGAGCTTGCAGTGAGCCGAGATCACGCCACTGCACTCCAGCCTGGGTGACACAGCGAGACTCCATCTCAAAAAAATAAAATAAAATAAAAGGAAAGAGGAGTCTATTTGTCAAATTTGAATCTCTTTATTGAAACAGTTGAATTAACTAATTGAATTAAAAGGATTTACTAGTAAAAGAGAGAATCCTTTCCAGAGGAGGGATGTAAAGCACTCACCGATACATCTCAAATCCTCCTCTGGTCATTGCCAAAGCAACTGTTATCACAACCTTCCAGATAGAAAAGAGTATCTGCTCAGAAGGGATACTGGATTGCTGCCCAGTCCCCCACAATATCCAACCTCCAAGATCAGATGTGCCCTCTGCTGCAATGCAATTTCAAATAAATGAAGAAAAAAGATGCAGAGATGCTTTTATGTCTTTTTCAGTAAGCCTAGCTGATTTCATTCATTTATTCTGCACCATACGTTCAGGTAAAACCCCTTTCTGCAGACTTATTCTGCATTAGCTACTCCCAGTATGGGCATACACATGCTCATGTGCACACACGCATGTGCAAGCACACACACACACACCATAGCCTGCTTATCAATCAACTCTAATTTGTCCGGAAGCTCTGCCATGAGTGGCACATTCCCCATATTCTTTCCTTATCAAGCTCTGTAGAGGTTGGAAAAGATAAGAGACCACTGACTATTCCTAAGCCTTATATTATCTAACAGTTTAACCTCCTGTGTTTCTTCTGCAAATGTGCTAACAACAACAACAACAACAAAACCAAATTGTAAAAACAACTAAAACAAAGACCAAGGAAGAGAAAGAAAAGCCAAAGAAAATTCCCAGAAAGCTCAGTTTGGTAAACAGAAAAAAAAAGTCCTTAGAGATCGGCTGAGAATACTGAAGGACCAGAAAGAGAAAGAATCAGTGGTAAACTTTTAAAAAGTTTTTAAAAAGGTTTTCTAGAAGAAAGAAAGGCTGCTTGGAAGAAAGATAGTAGTATCTGATGACCCACTAAGAGACTGAAAGTTGTGCATTTTAAAATTAAGTGACTCATTTCTTACGGCCAAAGCAGAAATCAAACGGGAAAAAACAGTCTAGAGAAAAATCTGCCATAAACAGGGTACAGAGGGTGAGTGGATGGAGAATGGGTAAAGGGAGGAATCAGTGACACCAAATGCGGCCGTTTAGTATGAAATTTCATAATCTGATAAATCTGTTTCTGAAAATAGTTTATTGTCCTCCCAGCCAATTTAATTGCAGAACTATGAAGGAATGTCTACATGGAAATGTGCAGTCTGCAAGTTAGAGAAACGGTCTGGTAGGAAGCACTAGTGTATGAAATTCACTCTATTAAAGTAAATGTCTGAAATCTCTCAAGGAGGGAAATAAGCAAATCCAGCAACATACACCATTGGGAAAAAAGCTAAGAAGGTCATTTGTATGTGTTTGTTGAAAGGAAGATTTTCAGTATTTGATTATTTGAAAGGGCTTAAAAGCAAATAACAGGTATCATCAATAAAAAGGCAAACAGACAGGATGGCTGCAGTTTATGGAGACACACAAAAAAAACACATGCATACCTTCTCTAAATCCCCATTCATTTAGTCAGGGGTCTAGAACTTAACAGAGGCAAGGTGGCCACAGCCCCTCAGGAGCAGGGGCCATGCCTCCTGCCCCTACCCCTGCCGTCCCCAGGGTGCACTGCTGTCAGCAGCCCTGTCTGCATGGGTACTGTCCTCCCGGAACCGAGCAGGGAGCCTAATTCTTGTTTTGCCACTGCCCTGTTACACATAGATTTTAATCACCACCTTGGAAAACTCCACACTAACAATCTCTTAAGAGAATATTTATAACATCAAGGTCTCTTCATTCTTGACCTAAACTTAGAATCAACAAGGTCCATCCCCTTGAGATAGGAATAAAACCATCAACAATGCTAGCTGTCATTGTCTGTCCCAGCCCTTCTGTGGCCCAGAAAGCCTGTCTCTTCTCAACAGCTTAGATGAAAACACCAAAACAAGAGATTATTGCTTGGCACACTCATCAAGCAGACAAGAATTAAAGAGCATGAGAAGAACCAGCAGCTTTTCTGGTAAGAGCTATCCATGCCAAAGACACAGATTTGAACATAACGCAACACAGCAGAGAATAGGGGAGCAGAAAAGGATGACAATGAATGGGTACATTTGGCCAAATGACCCATCTTTTTTGGCTTCCAAGTTCCCATGTATCTTCTCAGTCTTTTCCTGAATCACATTGTCTAAGATTCCTCTTCCACTCCTTCACCCATCAACATTGATTAGAGCAGCATCATTCCCTGCTACTGTTTTAAGCATCATTAGGCTTTCGACAAACAATTTGCCACAAGGATGCAAGACATAAAAGGGTGAACTCAAATAGAATTAGTGTCTGTGTTTAATGGGTCAATGCTTCTCAAATTTTAATGCACATACAAATCACCTGGGGATCTTGTTAAAATTTAGGTCTAATTCAGCTGACCAGGGGAGGATCTGAGAATGTGCATTTCTAACAAGCCCTCAGGTGATGCCAATCCTGCTGGTCCCTGGGCTGCAAGGATCCAGTTCATCCAAAGTAACAGCTCTAAAGAGGCAAAGTCTTGTCTAAAGTAACACAGTGCATAGTCGAGCTAGGACTTGAGCTCAGCTCCTCCAACTCCCAAATTCGGTGGAATTGCCCTTTATGCAAAATATGTCAAGCCTCCACATGGGTTGTCTGGTTAAAAATAAATCAGTCAAATTATACTGAAAGATCACCTCCAATGACCAAGTAAAACAATTTTTCAGTTACAGGACATAAAAACCAGGCCTCTTGTTTTCCCATTTTTCAAAGTCCTTATTAATATCTGTAAATCAATGGGGACATTTTCAAAAGGGATTAGCTCTCTTTAATATTTAAGCTCCCTACCTGTGATTCATATTCGGTCAAAAAGAACAGAAATATTAATCCATGAATATCTGGAGGGAGGCTCTGGACACCTAGTCTTCAGTTTATGTAATGAAAACAGAGAAGAGATTCAAAGTAAAGTCTCCAGAAGAGATAAACACCAGAGGGAGTAACATCTGTGGGCTGCATTTGTGTAGACCCTTAAGCCAAGTCACTAACCCTATAATAGAGAATCTGGCCTCTTTCCCCAGTAATAGCAGAGATCATTCTCCATTCCTTCTCCTGTACCATCCCTAGACCATAGGAAGGTCTGCTGATTCAAGACCCAGCAGAAAGAAGAAAACAATGCTGCTTCTTAAAACATAGGTTCTTCAATTCTATCCCTCCCATCTCTAATTGGTCATGATGGGAACTCACAAAATAAACCTGATGAACTGAAAAGTAAGCAGAAAGACAAAAAGGGAGGGAGGGGGAGAAAAAACCATTCCTATTTATGAGGCTGCAGCACAAAGCACTGATAGCGACAGGAGGAATTTCCGCCAGCCAGAGGCCCCATTCCAAAGTCTCATGTCTGAGTAAGCATGGGTCTTACCAGGCAACCCCCAAAGGTCAGAGGTCAGAGAGAATTCCTCATCCTGGGGGGCAGAGTCAGGGGATAAGCAGAACATTTATTTCCCTCCCCCTGGTGAGGGACAACAAACCCTGACACACAGGCATCCTGCAACTCAAATCAGTGATTTCTGCCAGTGAGCCACAAAGTTCCGGATCAGGAAACAAGGCAAGAAGCCTCACTGGGCAAGTTTTCCCACACAGCTCTGCCAGTAGATTTCATTCCTCAGCTACATCACCCCAGGCTTTAGACAGCATTCAAGAACAAGAGGGCAGAAACGGTCACATTCTTTGATTGTATGGAAAAGGAACCAGCAGAATTTTCCATCTGGGCCAAGAACTGAACTGCACTTAAAAGAGTAACGTGGTATGAGGCATGTCCCCTCTCTCAATGGAGGCACCATCAGATGGCACACATTTTAAATGTCACTAATCCTCATTTGTAGCATTCACACAGCTAAACAGAGAGAATGCTTAATCCTTGCATTTCTGGAAATTAGAATCTAAGGAAGTTTAACAAGTTCAAATTATTATAACAGCATATCCTAGGACAAATTGATTCCTTGCTGGTTAGAAGCTGGAAAGCTATTCCAAAGCTCCACGGTGTCCTACATGTTAAAAGAAGGAAGATTAAATTTCTTTTTGGAGCAGACATTCTATTTGTTCTGGTGATTAAAATAAAAATTGTCTTCATCTTGATGTAAAGGTGGTTAAACAGGGAAACGAGTCATGTTTGCCTTCGAACATGACTACTGGGTTTATATTTCAGCAGAAATGTGTCACTGCAGTTTTGCATATTTGTATGGGAGAAATGTTTTTTTTTCTCTGCATATTTATAGAATGTGAGTCTTTATATAATTGTATCTTTTTTGTTGTTGTTGTTTTTGAGACAGGGTCTTGCTCTATTGCCCGGGCTAGAGAGCAGTGGCATGATCACAGCTCATTGCAGCCTTGTATCAACCACAGTCTCAAGCAATTCTCCCACCTCAACCTCCGACGTAGTTGGGACTATAGGCAAGCGCCACCACACCCAGCTATTTTGTTTGTTTGTTTGTTTGTAGCGATGATGCCTCACTACGTTGTGTAGGCTTGTCTCCAACTCCTGGATTCAAACAATCCTCCTGCCTCAGCCTCCCAAAGTGCTGGGATTACCAGCATGAGCCACTGTACCCAGCATAATTGTGTCTTCTTGAGAAGGCCTCCCAACTTGTATTCCAGCACAAACAGTTCTTCACTGGAGATAGAAGCAAAACCTGAATGATTTCGAGAAATAGACACAGACTTATTCTTCACCTTGAATCAAAGGAGAGACTGGATAGAGAATTGGTCAGGACCTGCTGTAGCTCGGTGGAAAAGGATCTGTTGAATAATACACACACATCCCCCGCAAAACCTCCCTGCACTGCTGTTTGAGACTAAATAACTCAGGCTTTGGAAAACATGCTGGTGATGGACTATTGTGTCCTGGGTGATTGTCATCTGGGAACATAAAGCTGGGCCAAATCCTATGGGTAAGGGGCTATATGACTCTTATAGTCACACATATTTGTGCAAATTGCAAGAAGTCATGCAGGGAAGGCAGGTGAAATTGTAAAAGGTAGCCCCTCCAGAAAAAGTGGCAGCCAGTGGGATGATTTGCACCTTTAATCCCAGCCATTTGGGAGGCTGAGGTAGGAGGATCACTTGAGCCCAAGAGTTCAAGTCCAACCTGGGCAACATAGTGAGACCCCATCTCTAAATTTTAAAGGACTTCTCAAAAAAAAAAAGCATACAAGTAGCAAATACGTATATGAAAAGGTGGAAAACTTCACTAAATATCTGGGAAATGCATATCAAAACCACTAGATATAGCCCTGCACCTGTCAGAATGGCTATTATAAAAAAGACCAGGGATAACAAGTTTGGCCATGATGCGAAGAAAAGAAAACCCTTGTATCCTGCTGGTGGGAATGTAGATTGGTACAGCCATTACAGAAAACAGTGTGAAAATTCCTCAAAAACTAAAAGTAAATTACCATATGATTCAGCAATTCCACTTTTGGGTATATACCCAAAGGAATTGAAATCACTGTCTTCAAGAGATAGCTGCAATCTCACGTTTATGGCAGCACTATCCACAATAGCCAAGATATGGAAACAGCCTAAATGTCCACTGACAGACAAATGGATAAAGAAATTCAATACATGTACACGTGTGTATATGTGTGATAAAATATTACACAGCCTTTAAAACGAAAGAAAACCTGTCATGTGTGACAACATAGGTGGACCTGGAGAATGCCACGTTAAGTGAAGTAAGGCAGCTGCAGAAAGACAAATACGGCATGATCTCACTTATATGTGGAACCAAAATAGTCAAACTCACAGAGGCAGAGAGTAGAATGGTGGTTGCCAGAGCCTGGGGGAAGCGGGAAATGGGGAGATGTTGCACAAAGGGTACAGAGTTTCAGTTATGTAAGATGATTAATTTCTAGAGATCTAATGTAAAACAATGTGACTGTTGTTAACAATACTGAAGTGTATACTTGAAATTTGCTAAGAGGGTAGATTTTAAGTGCTCTCATCACAAAAAAAAAAAAGAAAATGGTAAAATGGTAATTAATATGAGGTGATGAATATGCTGATTCACTTGACTGTGGTTATTATTACATATATATGTATAACAGATCACCAAGTTGTACATCTTAAATATACACAATTTTTGTTTGTCAATTATACATCAGTAAGGCTGGAAAAGAAAAAAAACTGAAGCTCCAAAGCAAAGGGAATTTGATAAGTTCAGTTAGAACTGAAACCTCTCTTATGTTCCTTGAGAAACACACAGAAAAATTGGAATTATATTTACTTCTGCCTCTTAAAGACTAAGTTAGACGTTAGAGCAAAGGAAACTGCCAGAGACAGAGATAAACATTATACAATGATAACCATGTCGCTTCACCTGGAAGACCTAAGTGTATAGCAATCCCAAATGTATATGCATCAAACAACAGAGATGCAAAATATGTGAAGAAAATCTGATAGAACTGAAAGGATGAATAGACAAATTCACAATTATGGTTGGAGACTTCAATACTTCTATCTCTCAAAAAATGACAGAACAACTAGACAGAAAATCAGCTAGGGTAAAGTAAAAGAATTCAACAAGACCATCAGCCAACAGTATCTAATAAAACATTTATGAAACACTCTCTCCAACAACAGCAAGACACACATTCTTTTCAAGATGGAACTATAAATTTCAAGAAACTTAAAAGAATTGAAATAATATAAACTGTGTCCTCTGACTACAATGAAATTAAAATGGAATTCAATAACAGAAAGATAACAGGAAAACCTCCAAGCACTTGCAAACTAGACACTTCTAAATAATCCATGGGTCAAAGAAAAAGTCTCAAACAAATTAAAAACTTCAGTGAACTAGATGAAATCAAAATGTAACATATCAAAACTGTAAGACACAGAAAAAGCAATGCTGAGAGGAAAAGCTAAAGCACAAAATGCTTACAGTAGAAAAGGACAAGTCCAGGCGTGCTGGCTCACGCCTATAATCCCAGCACTTTGAAAGGCCAAGGTGGGAGGATTGCTTGAGCCCAAGAACTCAAGACCAGCCAAGGCAACATAGTGAGACCCAATCTCTACAAAAGATTTTAAAAATTAGCCAGGTGTGGTGTTGCACACCAGTAGTCGCAGCAACTTGGAAGGCTGAGGTGGGAGGATTGCTTGATCCCAGGAGGTTTAGGCTGCAGTGAGCCAAGATTACACCACTACCCTCCAGTCTGGGTCACAGAGCAAGACATCATCTCAAAAAAAAAAAAAAAAAAGAAAAAAGAAATTGCCAACAACAAAAAAAACTTGAGACCTGGTTAAGATGGCCAAATAGGAATGGCTCTGGTCTGCAGCTCCAGTGAGATCAATGCAGAAGGCAGGTGATTTCTTCATTTCCAACTGAGGCACCCAGCTCATCCCATTGGGACTGGTTAAACAGTGAGTGCAGCCCACAGAAGGCAAGCAGAAGCAGGATGGGGTGTCACCTTACCCGGGAAGCACAAGGGGTCAAGGAACTCCCTCCCTTAGCCAAGGGAAGCCGTGAGGGTCTGTGCCTTGAGGAACGGTGCACTCCAGCCCAGATGCTACACTTTTCCCATGGTCTTCACAATCCGCAAACCAGGAGATTCCCTCAGGTGCCTATGCCACCAGGGCCCTGGATTTCAAGCGCAAAACTGGGTGGCGGTTTGGGCAGACACTGAGCTCACGGCAGGAGTTTTTTCATACCCCAGTGGCACCTGGAATGCCAGCAAGAAAGAACTGTTCACTTCCCTGGAAAGGGGGCTAAAGCCAGGGAGCCAAGTGGTCTAGCTCCCCAGATCCCATCCCCACAGAGCCCAACAAGCTAAGATCCACTGGCTTGAAATTCTCGCTGCCAGCACAGCAGTCTGAAGTTGATCCGGGATGGACTAGCTTGGTGGGGGGAGGGGCATCCACCATCACTAAAGCTTGAGTAGGTGGTTTTCCCCTCACAGTGTAAACAAAGCTGCCAGGAAGATCAAACTGGGCGGAGCCCACCGCAGCTCAGCAATGCCACTGTAGCTAGACTGCCTGTCTAGATTCCTCCTCTCTAAGCAGGGCATCTCTGAAAGAAAGGCAGCAGCTCCAGTCAGGGGCTTATAGATATAACTCCCATCTCCCTGGGACAGAGCATTTGGGTGAAGGGGTGGCTGTGGGCACACCTTCAGCAGACTTAAACATTCCTGCCTGCTGGCTCTGAAGAGAGCAGTGGATCTCCCAGCACAGTGCTCAAGCTCTGCTAAGGGACAGACTGCCTCCTCAAGTGACTCTCTAACCCCCATGCCTCCTGACTGGGAAACACCTCCCAGCAGGGGTCGACAGACACCTCATACAGCAGAGCTCCAGGTGGCATCTCGTGGGTGCCCCTCTGGGACAAAGCTTCCAGACGAAGGAACAGGTAACAATCTTTGCTGTTCTGCAGCCTCTGCTACTAATATCCAGGCAAACAAGGTCTGGAGTGGACCTCCAGCAAACTGCAGCAGACCTGCAGAAGAGGGGCCTGACTATTGGAAGGAAAACTAACCAACACAAAGGAATAGCATCAACATCAACAAAAAGGTCATCCAAACAAAAACCCCATCCAAATGTCACCAACATCAAAGACCAAAGGTCGATAAATCCACAAACGTGAGGAAAAACCAGCACAAAAAGGCTGAAAATTCCAAAAACCAGAATGCCTCTTCTCCAAAGGATCACAACTCCTTGCCAGCAAGGGAAGAAAACTGGATGGAGAATGACTTTGATGAATTGACAAAAGTAGGCTTCAGAAGTTAGGTAATAACAAACTCCTCTGAGCTAAAGGAGCATGTTCTAACCCAATGCAAGGAAGCTAAGAACCTTAAAAAAAGGTTAGAGGAATTGCTAACTAGAATAACCAGTTTAAAGAAGAACATAAATGACCTGATGGAGCTGAAAAACACAGCACAAGAACTTCGTGAAGCATACACAAGTATCAATAACCAAATCAATCAAGTGGAAGAAAGGATATCAGAGATTGAAGATCAACTTAATGAATAAAGTGTGAAGACAAGATGAGAGAAAAAAAGAATGGAAAAGAATGAACAAAGCCTCCAAGAAATATGGGACTATGTAGAAAGACCAAACCTGTGTTTGATTGGTGTATCTGAAAGTGTCGAGGAGAATGGAACCAAGTTGGAAAACACACTTCAGGATACTATCCAGGAGAATATCCCCAGCCTAGCAACACAGGCCAACATTCAAATTCAGGAAATACAGGGAATACCACAAAGATACTCCTTGAAAAGAGCAATCTCAAGACACATAATTATCAGATTCACCAAGGTTGAAATGAAGTTTCAATCTTCATTTTAACCTTAATAAAGTTAAGTGCAGCCAGAGAGAAAGGTCCGGTTACCCACAAAAGGAAGCCCATCAGACTAACAGTGGATCTCTCTGCAGAAACCCTATAAGCCAGAAGAGTGGGGGCCGATATTCAACATTCTTAAAGAAAAGAATTTTCAGCCTAGAATTTCATATTCAGCCAAACTAAGCTTCATAAGCAAAGGAGAAATAAAATCCTTTACACACAAGCAAATGCTGAGAGATTTTGTCACCACCAGGCCTGGCTTACAAGAGCTCCTGAAGGAAACACTAAATATGGAAAGGAAAAACCGGTGTCAGCCACAGCAAAAACATACCAAATTGTAAAGACCATCAACACTATGAAGAAACTGCATCAACTAACAGCCAAAATAATCAGCTAATGCCATAATGACAGAATCAAATTCACACATAACAATATTAACTTAAAGGTAAGTGGGCTAAATGCCACAATTAAAATACACAGACTGGCAAATTGGATAGAGTCAAGACCCATCAATGCGCTGTATTCAGAAGACCAATCTCACATGCAAAGACACACATAGGCTCAAAATAAAGGGATGGAGGAATATTTACCAAGCAAAATGAAAGAAAAAAAGCAGGGTTTGCAATACTAGTTTCTGATAAAACAGACTTTAAGCCAAAAAAGATCAAAAAAGACAAAGAAGGGCATTACATAATGGTAAAGAGATCAATGCAGCAAGAACAGCTAACTACCCTAAATATATATGCACCCAATACAGCAACACCCAGATTCATAAAGCAAGTTCTTAGAGACCTACAAAGAGACTTAGACTCCCACACGATAACATTGGGAGACTTTAACACCCCACTGTCAATATGAGACAGATCAATGAGACAGAAAATTAACAAGGATATTCAGGACTTGAACTCAGCTCTGGACCAAGCAGACCTAATATACATCTACAGAACTCTCCACCCCAAATCAACAGAATACACATTCTTCTTAGCACCATATTGCACTTATTCTAAAATTGACCACATAATTGAAAGTAAAACACTCCTCAGCAAATGCAAACGAACAGAAATCATAACAAACAGACTCTCAGACCACACTGCAATCAAATTAGAACTCAGGATTATGAAACTCACTCAAAACCTCACAAGTACATGGAAACTGAATAACTTGCTCCCAAATGACTAATGGGTAAATAACGAAATAAAGGCAGAAATAAAGAACATCTTTGAAACCAATGAGAACAAAGACACAACATACCAGAATCTCTGGGACACAGCTAAAGCAGTGTTTAGAGGGAAATATACAGCACTAAATGTTCACAGAAAAAAGAGGAAAAGATCCAAAATCGACACACTAACATCACAATTAAAAGAACTAGAGAAGCAAGAACAAACAAATTCAAAACCTAGCAAAAGACAGGAAATAACTAAGATCAGAGCAGAATTGAAAAAGATAGAGACATGAAAAACCTTTCAAAAAATCAATGAATCCAGGAGCTGATTTTTTGAAAAGATTAACAAAATAGATAGACCACCAGCCAGACTAATAAAGAAGAAAATAGGGGAAAATCAAATAGACACAATAGGGGAAAATCAAATAAAAAATGATAAAAGGGATATCACCACTGATCCCACAGAAATACAAACTACCATCAGAGAATACCATAAACACTTCTACACAGTAAACTAGAAAATCTAGAAGAAATGGATAAATTCCTGGACACATACACCCTCCCAAGACTAAACCAGGAAGAAGTCAAATCCCTGAATAGACCAGTAACAAGTTCTGAAATTGAAGCAGTAGTTAATAGCCTACCAATCACAAAAAGCCCAGGACCAGATGGATTCACAGCCTAATTCTACCAGAGGCACAAAGAGGAGCTGGTAGCACATTTTCTGAAACTATTCCAAACAATAGAAAAAGAGGGAATCCTCCCTAACTCATTTTATGAGGCCAGCATCACCCTGATACCAAAACCTGGCAGAAACACAACAAAAAAAGAAAATTTCAGGCCAATATCCCTGATGAACATCAAGGCAAAAATCTTCAATAAAATACTGGAAAACCAAATCCAGAAGCACATCAAAAAGCTTATCCACCAAGATCAAGTCGGCTTCATCCCTGGGATGCAAGGCTGGTTTAACATATGCAATCAATAAATATAATCCATCACATAAACAGAACCAACGACAAAAACCACATGATTATCTCAATAGATACAGAAAAGGCCTTCGATAAAATTCATCACCCCTTCATGCTAAAAACACTCAATAAACTAGATGTCGATGAAACGTATCTCAAAATAATAAGAGCTATTTATGAGAAACCCACAGCCAATATCATACTGAATGGGCAAAAGCTGGAAGCATTCCCTTTGAAAACCGGCACAAGACAAGGATGCCCTCTCTCACCACTCCTATTCAACATAGTATTGGAAGTTCCAGCCAGGGCAATCAGGCAAGAGAAAGAAATAAAGGGTATTCAAATAGGAAGAGAAAAAGTTAAATTGTCTCTGTTTGCAGATGACATGATTGTATATTTAGAAAACCCCATTGTCTCTGTCCAAAATTTCCTTAAGCTGATAAGCAACTTCAGCAAAGACTCAGGTTACAAGATCAATGTGCAAAAATCACAAGCATTCCTATACATCCATAATAGGCAAACAGAGAGCCAAATCATGAGTGAACTCCCATTCACAATTGCTACAAAGAGAATAAAATACCTAGGAATCCAACTTACAAGGAATGTAAATGACCTCTTCAAAGAGAACCACAAACCACTGCTTAAGGAAATAATGAGGACACAAACAATAACACAAACAAATGGAAAAACATTCCATGTTCATGAATAGGAAGAATCAATATCGTGAAAATGGCCATACTGACCAAAGTAATTTATAGATTCAATGCTATCCCCAGCAAGTTACCATTGACTTTCTTCACAGAATTAGAAAAAACTACTTTAAATTTCATATGAAACTAAAAAAGAGCCCGTAGAGCCAAGACAATCTTAATCAAAAAGAACAAAGCTGGAAGCTTCACACTACCTGACTTCAAACTATACTACAAGGCTACACTAACCAAAACAACATAGTACTGGTACCAAAACAGATATATACACCAATGGAATGGAACAGAGGCCTCAGAAATAATGTCACACATCTACAACCATCTGATCTTTGATGAATCTGAGAGAAACAAGCAATGGAGAAAGGATTCCCTATTTAACAAATGGTGTTGGGAAAACTGGCTAGCCATATGCAGAAAACTGAAACTGGACCACTCCCTTACACCTTATACAAAAATTAACTCAAGATGGATTAAAGACTTCAATGTTAGACCTAAAACCATAAAAACCCTAGAAGAAAACCTAGGTAATACCACTCAGGACAAATTTACAAGAAAAAAGCAACCCCATCAAAAAGTAGGCAAAGGATATGAACAGACACTTCTCAAAAGAAGACATTTATGCAGCCAACAAACATATGATAAAAAGCTCATCATCACTAGTCATTACAGAAATGCAAATCGAAACCACAATGAGATGCCATCTCACACCAGTTAGAATGGCCATCATTAAAAAGTCAGGAAACAACAGATGCTGGAGAGGATGTAGAGAAATAGGAATGCTTTCACACCATTGGTGAGAGTGTAAATTAGTTCAACCATTGTGGAAGACAGTGTGGTGATTCCTCAAGGACCTAGAACCAGAAATACCATTTGACCCAACAATCTGATTACTGGGTATATACCCAAAGGATTATAAATCATTGTACTATAAAGACACATGCACATGTATGTTTATTGCAGCACTATTCACCATAGCAAAGACTAGGAACCAACCCAAATGCCCATCAATGATAGACTGGATAGAGAAAATGTGGCACATATGCACCATGGAATACAATGCAGCCATAAAAAAAGGATTAGTTCATGTCCTTTGCAGGGACATGGATGAAGGTGGAAACCATCATTCTCAGCAAACTAACACAGGAACAGAAAACCAAACACGGCATGTTCTCACTCTTAAGTGGGAGCTGAACAATGAGAACACATGGACACAGGGAGGGGAACATCACACATCAGGGCCTGTAGGGGGTTAGGGGGCTAGGGAAGGGATAGCATTAGGAGAAATACCTAATGTAGATGACAGGTTGATGGGTGCAGCAAACCACCATGGCCCATGTATACCTATGTAACAAACCTGCACATTCTGCACACGTATCCCAGAACTTAAAATATTAAATAAAAAAAAAAGATCAGAGCCAGATGAATTCACAGCTTAATTCTATAAGACATTCAAAGAAAAATCAGTGCTAATCCTACTGAAACTATTCCAAAGATTGAGAAACAGAAAATTTTCTTAAAATCATTCTATGAAACCAGTATCACCCTGATACCAAAACCAGGAAAGGACATAATAATAATAATAAAAAGAACTACAAACCAATATCCCTGATGAACACAGATGCAAAAATCCTCAACAAAATACTAGCAAACCAAATCCAACAGTATATCAGAAAGATAATACACCATGATCAAGTGGATTTCACCCCAGGGATGTAGGGATGATGGAAGTCAATATATGTGATATATCACATAAACAGAAATAAAAACAAAAACCATATGATCATGTTGATAGATACAGAAAAAGCATTTGATAAAATCCCGCATTGCTTTATGATAAAAACCCTCAACAAACGAGGCATAGAATGGACATACCTCAAAATAATAAAAGCCATATATGACAAACCCACAGTCAATATCATACTGAAGGGGGGGAAGTTTAAAGCATTGCCTCTGAGAAATGGAACAAGACAAGGATGTTCACTTTCACCACTTCCATTCAACATACTACTGGAAGTCCTAGACAGAGCAATCAGGCAGGAGAAAGAAATAAAGCACATCAGAAAACAGAAAGTCAAACTATTGTTGTTCACTGATGATATGACTGTATAACTAGAAAACCCTAAAGACTCCTTCAAAAGACTCCTAGATTTGATAAACAAATTCAGTAAAGTATCTGGTTATAAAATCAATGTACAAATATCAGTAGCATTGCTATACACCAACAACGACCAAGCTGAGAATCAAATCAAGAACTCAATCCCTTTAACAATCGCTACAAAAGCAAAATACCTAGAAATACACATAACCAATGAGATAAAAGAGCTCTACAAGGAGAACTATAAAACACTGCTGAAAGAAATCACAGATGATACAAACAACCAGAAACATATCCCATGCTCATGGATTAGAAGAATCAATATCATGAAAGTGACCATACTGCAAAAGTAATCTATAGATTCAATGCAATTTCTATCAAAATACCAACATCATTTTTCACAGAATTAGAAAACAATCTGAAAATTCATATGGAACCAAAGAAAGAGCCTGAATATCCAAAGCTATCCTAGGCAAAGGTATCACATTACCTCACTTCAAGTTATACTACAAGGCTATAGATACAAAAAGAGCATGGTACTGTTATAAAAATAGATACATAGGCCAATGGAACTGAATAGAGAACCCAGAAATAAAGCCAAATACTTACAGCTGACTGATCTTTGACAAAAAATACAAAAATAAAACTTGGGGAAAGGACATCCTGTTTAATAAATAAATGGTGCTGGGAAAACTCTAGAGCCACATATAGAAGAATTAAACTGGATCCCCATCTCTCACCTTATACAAAAATCAACTCAAGATGGATCAAAGACTTAAATTTAAGACCTGAAACCATAAAAGCTGTAGAAGAAACCTAGGAAAAACTCTTATGAACATTGGCCTATGCAAAATATTTATGACTAGGACCCCAAAAGCAAATGCAACAAAACAAAAAATATATCAGTAGAATCTAATTAAATTAAATGGCTTCTGCATAGCAAAATAAATAATCATCAGAGTGAATAGAAAACCCACAGAATGAGAGACAATATTTGCTAACTATGCATCTAAAAAAGACCAATGTCCAGAATCTACAAGGAACTCAAAAAAATCAGCAAGAAAAAAAGATAACCCCATCTAAAAGTGGGCATATGAAATGAACAGACATTACTCAAAAGAAGATAAGTGGCCAATAAACATATGAAAAAATGCTCAACATCACTAATTATCAGAGAAATGAAAATTCAAACTACAATGAGATACTATTTTACCCCTGCAAAAGTGGTCATTATTTAAAAGTAAAAAAAAAATAAATAAATAAATGTTGGCATAGGTGTGGTGAAAGATGTGGTGAAAGGCAATGCTTATACACTGCTGGTGGGAATGTAAATTAGTAAAACCTCTATGGAAAACAGTATGGAAATTTCCTAAAGAACTAAAAGTAGATCTACCATTTGATCCAGAAATCCCACTACTGTGTATCTACTCAAAGGAAAAGAAGTCATCATATAAAAAAGACAACTGCATACGTGTGTTTATTGCAGCACAATCCACAATTGCAAAGACATGGAACCGACCTAAGTGCCCACTGACCAACAAATGGATAAAGAAAATGTGGTATACATACACCATGAAATACTATCCAGCCATAAAAAAGAAGAAAATAATGTCTTTTGCAGAAACTTGGATGGAGCTAAAAGTCATTATTCTAAGTGAAGTAACTCAGGAATGGAAAACCAAATACTGTATGACCTCACTTATAAGTGGAAGCTAAGCTATGGATAATCAAAGGCATATGGAGTGGTATCATGGACTTTGGAGACTCAGAAGTGGGAGGTTGGAAGGGAGATGAGTGATAAAAAAAACCACATATTGGATGGTGTACACTAGTTGGGTGATGCGTGCACTAAAATCTCAGACTTCAACACTATACAATTCATCTATGTAACCAAAAACTACTTATACCCCAAAAGCTATTGAAATAAAAATACACACACACACACAGCACAAACACACACACACATATATAAAAAGTTTTTAAACAAAAATTATGCAATGTTGGGTGTACTGTTATATATATGTCCACAAGTTAAAATTATTAATTGTGATGCACAAATCTTCTAGATTCTTACAGAATTTTTTTATCTGCTTGTTTTATCAATTATACTAAGTCAAATGTAATATTAAGTTTGATATGGTTTGGATTTGTGTCCCTGCCCAAATCTCATGTGGAACTGTAATCCCCAGTGTTGGAGGAGGGGCCTGATGGGAGGTGATTTGGATCATGGGGAAAAATTTTCTCCTTGCTGGTCTCATGATAGGGAGTTGAGTTCTCATGAGATTTGGTATTTAAAAGTGTGTAGCATCTCTCCCTCCATTCTCTTTCCTCCTCTGGCCGTGTAATATATGCCTCCTTCCTCTTTGGCTTCCACCATGATTGTAAATTTCTTGAGGCCTCCCCAGCCATGCTTCCTGTACAGCCTATGGAACTGAGTCAATTAAACCTCTTTTCTTTATAAATTACCTAGTCACAGGTAGTTCTTTATAGCACTATGAGAATGGACTAATATAGAAAATTGGTACTTAGAAGTGGGTCATTGCTATAAAGATACCTGAAAATGTGGAAGTGACTTTGGAACTGGATAACAGGCAGAGGTTGGAACAGTTTGGAGGGCTCAGAAGGAGAAAGGAAGATGAGGAAAAGTTTAGAACTTCCAGGAGACTTGTTAAATTGCTGTGACCAAAATGCTGACAGTGATATGGACAATCCAGGCTGATAGTGACATAGAAGTCCAGGCTAAGGTGGTCTCAGATGGTGATGAGGAACTTGTTGGGAACTAGAGCAAAGGTCACTTTTGTTATACATTAGCAAACAGGTTAGAGGCATCGTGCTCCTGCCCTAGAGATCTATGGGACTTTGAACTTGAGAGTAATGATTTAGAGTATCTGGTGGAATAAATTTATAAGGAGCAAAATGTTCAAGATGTGGCCTGGCTGTTTCTAGCAACCTATGCTTATACTGTGAGCAAAGAAATGACTTGGAACTGGAATTTACATTTAAAAGCAAGTTTGTCCAACCCATGGCCCATTGGTCACATGTGGCCCAACACAAATTTCTAAAACGTCTTAAACATTATGACATTTGTTTGCAAAAATTTTTTAGCTCATCAGCTATCATTAGTGTCAGTGTATTTTATGTGTAGCCCAAGACGATTCTTCTTTTTCCAATGTGGCCCAGAGAAGCCAAAATATTGGACATCTCTTTTTAAAAGGAAAGCAGACTGTAAAAGTTTGGAAAACTTGCAGCCCAGCCATGTGGTAGAAAATAAAAACCCACTTTCTGAGGGAGGAATTCAAGCTAGCTGTAGAAATTTGTGTAAGCAAAGAGAACTGAATGTTAATAGTCAAGACAATGAGGAAAGTGCCTCAAAAGCATTCTAGAGACCTCTGCAGCAGCTGCTCCATCACAGACCCAGAGATCTAGGAGAAAAGAATGGTTTTGTGGGCCAGGCCCAGGGCACTACTGCCCTGTGCAACCTTGGGACACTGCTCCCTGTGTCCCAGCCACTCTAGCTCCAGCCATGGCTAAAAGGGTCCCAGACATATGTCAGGCCACTGCTCCAGAGGATGCAAGCTGTAAGCCTCAGTGGCTTCCACGTGGTGTTATGCCTGCAGGTGCACAGAGGGCAATAGCTGAGGACTGGGGACCTCCACCCAGACTTCAGAGGATGTATGAAAATGCCTGGATGTCCAAGCAGAAGTCTGCTGCAGGGGTAGAGCCCTCATGGAGATCCTCTGGTAGGGCAATGCAGAGGGGAAATGTGTGGCTGGAACCCTACACAGGGTCCCCACTAGGGCACTGACTAGAGGAGCTGTGAGAAAAGGAGAAATTTTAAAGCTGGGTGTCCAGGGGAGACATCACATGTTGGCAGGTTCTGTGATGCCCCCTGAGCCGCAAAACCAGTAAGTTTTTATTAGCGATTTTCAAAGGGGAGGGAGTGTACGAATAGGGTGTGGGTCACAGAGATCACATGCTTCAAAGGCAATAAAATATCACAAGGCAGAAGGTCAGAGCAAGATCACAAGGTCAGGGCAAAACTAGAATTGCTAATGAAGATCCATGTCCCACTGGGCACACATTGTCACTGATAAACATCAGGAAACAGGGTTTGAGAGCAGACAACTGGTCTGACTAAAATTTACTAGGCAGGAATTTCCTAATCCTAATATACCTGGGGGCGCTGCAGGAGACTAGGGCATGTTTCATCCCTATCTACAACTGCATAAGGTAGACACTCATAGAGTGGCCATTTTAGAGGCCCTCCCTGGGAATGCATTCTTTTCCCAGGGATGTTAATTATTAATATTCCTTACTGGTGAAGAAATTCAGTGATATTTCTCTTACCAGTTTTTGGCAATAAGAGAAATATGGCTCTGTCCTGCCTGGCCCCCAGGCACTCAGACCTAATGGTTATCTCCCTTGTTCCCTGAACATCACTGTTATCCTGTTCTTTTTTCAAGGTGCCCAGATTTCATATTGTTCAAACACACAGGCTTTACGAACAATTTGTGCAGTTAATGCAATCATCACAGGGTCCTGAGGCGACATACATCTTCAGCTTATGAAGATGATGGGATTAAGAGATTAAAGTAAAGACAGGCATAGGAAATTATAAGACTATTGACTGGGGAAGTGATAAATGTCCATGAAATCTTCACAATTTATGTTCAGAGATTGCAGTAAAAACAGGCATAAGAAATTATAAAAGTATTAATTTGGGGAAGGAACTAACAAATGTCCATGAAATCTTCAAAATTTATGTTCTTCTGTCATGGCTTCAGCAGGTCCCTCTGTTTGGGGTCCCTGACTTCCCACAACAGTGTACAGTGTACTTTTGAGTTAATGCTGAAATGAGTTAAGACTTGGGAAACTGTTGAGAAGGGATGATAGTATTTTGCAATGTGAGAATAACGTGAGATTTAGGAGGGGCCAGAGCTAAAATGATATGGTTTGGATTTGTGTCCCTGTCCAAATCCCATGGCAAATTGTAATCCCCAGTGTTGGTGGAGGGGACTGATGGGAGGTGATTGCCTCATGGGGACAGATTTCCCCCTTGCTGTTCTTGTGATAGTGAGTGAGTTCTCATGAGATCTGGTTGTTTAAAAGTGTGTAGTGCCTACCCCTTCGCTTTCTCTTCCCCCTTCTCTGGCTATATAAGATGTGCCTCCTTCCTCTTTGCCTTCTGTCACGATTGTAAGTTTTCTGAGGTATCCTCAATCATGCTTCTTGTACAGCCTGTGGAACTATGAGCCAGTTAAACCCCTTTTCTTTATAAATTACCCAGTTTCAGGTAGTTCTTTATAGCCATGTGACAATGAATTAATATGAAGATGAAAGTAAAATTTCCCCCCAAAAAAGATATGAGAACAATGAACAAATCAATACATAAATTTAACAGCTTAGATAAAATAAACTAATTCCTCAGTAAACACAAACCACCACAACTCACCCAAAATGAAATAGAAAATTTGAATAGCCCTATTAAGAATTATGTTAAGAATATAAAGTTCATAACTTTTTAAAACTCCCAAAAGGAAGTCTCTAGGCCCAGATAGTTTCAATACAAATTCTACCAAACATGTAAAGATAACTAACATAAATTCGATGCAATCTCTTCCAGAAAACAGAAGATAAGGAAACACTACCCAATTCATTTTATAAAGCTAATATTACCCTGATACCAAAATCAGACACAAACAGTACTGAAAAGAAAGGAAAACTACAAAAGAATATCTTTCATAAATATAGATGCAAAAATCCTTTTAAAAATATTAGCAAATAGTATTTAGTGATATATAAAAAGAATTGTACACCATGACCAAGTGGAATTAATTCCAGAGATGCAAGCCTGTTTCAATATTTGAAAAATGAGCCAATGCCACCTTAGGTAACTAGAAAAAAAAAGAGCACATTAGATTCAATGAGAAAAAAAACTAGTAAAAATTAGAGCAGAACTCAATGCAGTTAAAGACAGAAAAAATAGTAACACCAAAAGCTGATTATTTTAAAAGATCAATAAAATCAGTAAGCCTTGAGCTAGGCTAACTAAGAAAAAAAGAGAAAGAACACAAATTACCAATATCAGAAATGAAAGATGGGATATCACTACAGATTCCATGGACATTAAATATTGCCCACTCTCAGGTAGTTCTCTATGGCAATGTGAGAATGAACATTTCTCACATGTTCATTATGTGAGAAATATTATAGAATAAAGAATAAAGGTTCATATATTATGAACCACTATATGCCCCAATATTTGGTAACCTAGATGAAATGAAACAATTCCTTGAATGACACAATCTTTCAAAACACAGACAAGAAAAAATAGGCAATGTAAATAGGTCTCTATCTATTTTAAAAATTGAATCAATAATTAATAACCCTCCAAAAGAAAAATCATCAGGCCCAGATAGGTTCACTGGTGAACTCTACCAAATATTTAAAGAAGAAATTATGTCAGTTCCCTGAAATATCTCTCAGATGACAGAAGCAGAGGGAATTCTTTCTAACTCATTCCATGGGGCCAGCATCACCCTAACACCGAAACCAAAGTCATTACAAGAAAAGAAAACTAGCTGGGCGTGGTGGCTCACGCCTGTAATCCCAGCATTTTGGGAGGCCAAGGCAGGTGGATCACGAGGTCAGGAGTTCGAGACCAGCCTGGCCAATATGGTGAAACCCCGTCTCCACTAAAAAAAATACAAAAATTAGCCGGGTATGGTGGCACACCCCTGTAGTCCCAGCTACTGGGGAGGCTGAGGTAGGAGAATCGCTTGAACTCGGGAGGCAGAGGTTGCAGTGAGCCGAGATTGTGCTACTGCACTCCAGCTTGGGTGACAGAGTGAGACTTCATCTGAAAAAAAAAAAAAAAAAGAAAGAAAGAAAAGAAAAGAAAACTACAGACCAATTTCTCTGATAAACAGAGACGCAAAACCCCTCAAGCAAACTGAACCCAACAATGTATAAGAAGACATTTGCTCTGCTCCCTGTGTCCCAGCCACTCCAGCTCCAGCTATGGCTAAAAGGGACCCAGACACATTTCAGGCAGGACACATAATACAACACAATCAAGTGGGATTTATCCCAGGTATTCAAGGCTAGTTCAACATTCAAAAATTGATTAATGTAATCCATGACACTGACGGCTAAAGAAAAAAATTACATGATCATACCTATAGATGGAGGACAAACACTTGACAAAATCCAACACCCATTTATGATAAAATATCTCAGTAAAATAGGAATAGAGATAAAACTCTTCAATTTAATACAGAATATCTCTTCATACTTATGAGAATCTAGAAGCTTTCCCACTAAGATCAAAAGTAAGGCAAAGATGTCCTCTTTCACCACTCCTTTTTGACACCATATTGAAAGTTCTAGGTAGTACAATAAAACAAGAAAAGGAAATATAAGTATACTAATTGCAAAGGAAGAAATAATACTTTGTTCACAGATGACGTGAATGCTATGTAGATTAAAAAAAAAAAAAAAAAAACACTCCTGAAACAATTGTAGCAAGTGATTGTACCCAGCCTTGAAGGACACAAGGTTAATAAAGTGAGTTGTTTTACTATATACCAGCAATGAACAAGAAGTATTTAAAATTAAAAACTTAATACCATTTACATTAGCATTCTCCAAAAATTAAATACTTAGATACATCGAACAAAATATGTACAAGATCTATATGAGGGAAAATACAAAATTCTGATGAAGGAAATAAAAGAAGCTATAAATATATGAAGAGATATTCCATGCTAATGGATAGGAAGATTCAATGTTATTCAAATGTTAGTTCTTTCCAACTTAATCTATAGACTTAATGCAATCCCAACCAAAATCTTAGCAATTTACTTTGTGGATATTCACAAAATGATTCTAAAATTTATATGGAGAGTCAAAACACACAGACTAGCCAATACAGAATGCAAGGAGAAGTGGAGAACTGACACTATCGGACTTCAAGATTTACATTAAAGGTATAATCATCAAGACCATGTGATATTAGTGAAAGAATAGATAAATAGATAATGAAACAGAATAGAGAGCCCATAAATAGACCAACATAAATATAATCAACTTATCTTTGACAAAGTGGGAAAGGCAATGTAATGAAGAAAAGACAGGCTTTTCAACAAATGGTGCTGAACAAATGAACATTCACAGGCAAAAATAATCCAGACACCCTTTGGGAAAACTAACACAATAAATCTTATATTCTTCAAGAAAATTAATGCAAACTGGATGACAGAGTTAAATGTACAATATAAAACTCTAAAATTCTTAGAGATAATACAGGAGAAAAATCTAGATAACCTTGTTTTTTTCAATGACTGTTTAGATACAACATCAAAGGAATTACCCATGAAAGAAATAATTGATAAGCTGGATTTTATAAAACTTAAAAATGTCTGCTCTGTGAAACACACTATTTAGGGAATAAAAAGACAAGTCATATACTGACAGAAAATATTTGCAAAAGACATCTGATAAATCAACTGCTGTCAAAATTTACAAAGAACTCTTAATACTCAACAATAAGGAAATTAGCAACCTGATTAAAAACTAGAACAAAGACCTTAACAGGAACCTCACTGAAGAAGATATACATATGACAAGCATATGAAATGATATCCCATATCATATGCATTTCCATGGTGAAGAAAATGCAAATTAAAACAAAAATGAGATACCACCACACATCTATTGAAATGGTCAAAATCCAGAACACTGACAATACCAAATGCTGACAAAGATATGGAGCAATAGGAACTCACCTTCATTGCTGGTGAGGATGCAAAATAGTGCAGCCACTTTGGAAGACAATTTGGCTGCTTCTTACAAGACTAAACATACTCGTACCATATAATCCAGCAGTAACACTTCTTGATATTTACCTAAATGAGTTGAAAACTCTTGTCCACAAAGAAACCTGCCCAAGGTTGTTTATAGCAACGTTATCAATAACTGCCAAAACTTAAAAGCAACGAAGATGTCTTTCAGTAGGTGAATGAATACACAAACTGTACATCCAGATAATAAAATATTATTCAGCACTAAAAAGAAATGAGCTTTCAAGCCATAAAAAAACTTCAGGGGGCTGGGTGCAGTGGCTCACACCTGTAATCCCAGCACTTTGGGAGGCTGAGGTGGGCAGATTATGAGGTCAGGAGATTGAGACCATTCTGGCCAACATGGTGAAACCTCGTCTCTACTAAAAATACAAAAATTAGCTGGGCATTGTGGCACGTGCCTATAATCCTGGCTACTCGGGAGGCTGACGCAGGACAGTTGCTTGAACCAGGGAGTCAGAGGTTGCAGTGAGCCGAGATCATGCCACTGCACTCCAGCCTACTGACAGAGTGAGACATATTACTAAGTGAAAAAGGCCAATCTGAAAAGGCTACATATTGTATGCTTTACAACTATATGACATTCTATAAAATGCAAAACTAAAAAGATCAGTGGTTTCCAGGGGTAGGAGAGTGGAGAAATGAATAGGTGGAGCACAGAAAATTCTCAGGGCAGTGAAAATCCTCTATATGAGAATATAATGGTGGATATATGTCATTATAAATTGGTCCAAACCTATAGAATGTACAACACCAAGAGTGAACTCTAATGTAAACAATAAACTTTAGGTGATAATGATGTGTCAACATATATTCATCAATTATAACAAATGTACTACTCCGGTGGGGGATGTTGAAAATGGGAGAAGCTATGTATATATGGGAGCAGGGAGATTATGAGATATCTCTTTACTTTCCTCTCAGTTTTGGTATAAACCTAATACTGCTCTTAAAAAATAAACACTTTTTAAAAAATTAATCAATATAGTCCATCATATTAATAGGCTAAAGAAGAAAAGTCACATGACCATATCAACTGATGCAGGAAAAGCACTTGACAAAATTCAATACCCATTCAAAATCAAAAAAAGCTCTCAGAAAACTTCCGTGACTTGATAGAAAGCATCTACAAAAACAAAACAAAACAGATAGTTAATAGTATACCCAATGATAAAAGTCTGAATGCCTTCTCCCTAAGACTGGAGAAAAGGCAAGAGATGTTGCTCTCCCCATTCTTATTCAATATAGTGCTCAAAATTCTAGCCAAAGTAATAAAGCAAGAAAAGAAAGTTGAAAGGCATATGAAGAGAAAGGAAGAAATAAAACTGCCCCATTGGCAAATGACATTATTGTATACATAGGAAATCCCAAAGAATCTTCTAAAAAAACCATCTTAGGGTTAATAAGACAGTTTAGCAAATTCACAGTATATACAAAGTAAACATACAAAAATTAATTATGTGTTTACATACTAGCAATAAGCACATGAATACTAAAATTAAAAATATAAGGACTTAGAAAATGAGATATTTAGAAGTCAATCTAACAAAACACATATAGAGCTAGGATGTTGAAAACTACACAACACTGATGGAAAAAATCAAAGAAGATCTAAATAAATCAAGACACATACCATGTTCATGGATCACAAGACTTGACATAGCAAAGATGTCAATTCTTCCCACACTAATATATAGATGTAATACAATTCCTGTTAAAATCCCAGCAAGATTTTGTAGACAAGATTATTGTAAAATTTATATGGAAGGACAGAGAAACTAAAATTACTAAAACAATTTTGAAAAAGTAGACTAAAATGGGAGGAATCAGTCTACCTGATTTCATGACTAATTATATAGCTACAGTTATGAAGACTGTGTGCTATTGATGGAACAAAACCTAAAACTCAGATATAGACTCGCAAAAATACATCCAGCTAATTTTTTACAAAAGTGCAAAAGCAACTTAATGAAACAAAAACAGCCTTTCAACAAATGGTGCTGGAACAATCAGACATCCATAGGCAAACAACAAAGCAAGAAAGGAAGGAAGAGAGAAAAGGAGGGAGGAGGGGAGGGAGGAGAACCTCTAAGTCTCATACCTCATACAAAAATTAACTCAAAATGGATTATGGACTTAAATGTAAAATATAAATATGAGGTGGTGGTACCATGAGAGAAATGGGTATAGCTATAAAAGGATAACATGAGGGATTCTTGTGATGGAAAAGTGTGTCATCTTGACCACATCAGTGTTAAAATCCTGGCTGTGATACTGTGCAGTAATTTTGCAAGATGTTGCCATCAGAGGAAACTGGGTAGAGGGTACATACTAATACCTCTCTGAATTAGTTCTTACAAGTGTTATGAATCTACAACTATTCCAAAATAAAAAGTTTAACATAAAAATACTAAGAAATATCTCTCTCAAAAGTTTAACCCATATTTGAGTTTAAAACAAGAAAGGAAATCTCAATTCACCCAAAGAGAAAGGGAAACTTAAGGCTGGAGAGTGGATGGAAGTTAAAGCTGGATGGCCCTTGAGAGATCCATGACCAGCTATTCAGATAAAGAATTAGAATTTGATTTCCCAGCAGGGGCTGGAATTAGAGTTTTTGATAGAGTCAAAAACTGTATTCACTTTAGTAAAGCCTGAGCTAAGAAATGCTATGAACAGGAATTACATAATGTGCTATAAACAGAAATTAAAATTATAAGTTTAATGACCCAGGTACACAGTCCAGAGGATAAGTGCTTAGCAGAATTAGAACGCCCTTTGAAAAATCAGAACCCCAATCCTGTCTTATGCACGAGGGTGGATATCTTGGACTATCCTTCCAGTGCAGAAATCTAAACTAAAATACTAACAACAAATTCACTTGGAACCAATTCGGTAGTGCTCCTGGCAACAGCAAAACCAAACCCACCCCCACTGCGATACTCATTCCTGAGGATAAATTCAGAATCTAACTGATTAAAGAACACAGTTCCTCCATCAAAAAGCTGAGAATGGAAGAAATTAACTAAACTGTTAAAACAAACAAATTCCACAATGCCAAAGTTGTGAAAATGTTGATGGGAGAAGGGTAGTGAAAACGGTGGAGATGAGAGAGGACAGCTGCTGAGCCGAGACACGGGCTGACTCAGTCTGGGAGCAGCCTCAAAGAGGACAAGGGCTGGAACCATGCTAGAGTATATTAAATGCAGGAAGAAGGTTGTCCCACAGCTTCCCATAGGTAGCTTTTCTAGGGTCCTCAGTTTGAAATCATCTGAGTCTGCTCCAGAGGAGACTAAATGAGTCTCAAATCACAGACAACTCCAAGAGCCTCCAACATCTCATTCAGATGACCACATCTGAAACAAACAAAGCCAGGCTTGCACCCCAGGAATGACAGGCAGACGTCCTGGTCCACATGAATGTGTTTCTTCCTAAGAAGGACTTCCCAAATGCTACTTCTGCCCCTAAAAGTGGAGAAGGGCTTAGAGCCAGCAGATCCTAGGCCTGCCATCCTGTGAATTTGAATGTAGGGCCATACCTGGGTGAAAGAGAGAACAACTATACTGGATGTCAGACCCTAGACACGTGATCAGAAGTCAGGTACAAGTCCAACCACTATCCTTTGGACTACGACCACTCTAGGTGGACACTGGCAAATTGTGGCACACAAGCAAATGAACTTGAATCCAGCCAAGTAGTGCACACACAGAAAGGAAAGAAACTCATTTGGCTTTGGGTGCCTTTTTTTTTTATAACCATCCATTAAACATCCAATTTTGTGTAAAAGGTTCCAAAATAATCCTCCCAGTAGAATTTCTTCTGGCAAAATCATTCACTGATCTGGATGTGAAAATTTCCCATCATCTTAACTAACACTTTGTGCTTCTGAACGTCGTATGAATCTGAAATCTGAATCTGAAAATGCCTACATGGTAGTACTCCTGCTCCTTGGGGACATTTGAAATTGAAAGGGTCCTAGTATTCTATTCCCAAGCCTAGGATAATGCTAAACAATATGCAATTTCCCTTAGAAAGCACAAGATGAAAATAGGGAGCAATTTACAGCAGTGGTTGCACCCCTGGTTGCTCATTAGAATCACCTGGGGAGATCTGGTACTTTAGAGTAACACTGGCCAATACCACCCATTAACACCCACTTATGCTAATCCAGTGGTTGGCAACATTGACTGCAATTTAGAATCTCCTGCCAGGGAGCTTTAAAAAATGCTGATGCTGGGACTCTACTCTCAGACCAATTAAATCAAAACATCTAGGCTGTGGGGTTGGTGCATGGGTCCATTTTAAAGCTAGCCAGCTAGTCTTCATGTTGAGCCAGGGTTAACAACGACTACTCTAGTCCAGGGCTCCTCCAACTTCAGCGGGCATCAGAATCTCCTGGACAGCTAATTAAAACAAAGGTTTCAGACAAGCAAATCTACAGAGACCAAATGTAGATCAGTGGTTCCCTAGGAGTGGAGGAATGGGGGAATGGGTAAGTGACTGCTAAGGGATATAGGTTTCTTTGTGGGCTAATGAAAATATTCTAAAATTCATGGTGATGGCTGCACAACTCTGAACACATTTAAAGCCATTTAGCTGTAAACTTTAAGTGGGTTAACCGTATATATGTGAATTATATCTCAGTAAAGCAGCTAAACACACACAGAGACATTTTTGCCCATTCCCCCGAGATTCTGACACACTAGGTCTGAAGTGCAGCCCATGGGTTTGTCTTTGTAATGAGCTCCCCATTCAATGTGATGTTGATTCTGCAGGTCCACAGACCATACTGCTCCATCCCATGGAAAGATGCTCATGTTTAATGAGCAGGATAATGTTTCATCATCCAGAACTTTCTCCAGTTCTGGCCATAGAGGACCAGGTGCCATAATGCTTCCAGGGTTGTCTCACAGGAATGAGAGCCAGGATTGCAAAGGCGAGATGTGATGTGAGTCCAGAGCAAGCCTAGATGATGACAGCCGTGGAGCTGGGAAATGTTCTGCAGCTCAATGAAGCCCCTGATGAGGCCCAGAGAGAAGAGGAAAAGAAAAATAGAAAACCATTCACCATTCTTGATTTTCTGCTATGATCTAATTAGGGGGAAACGATAAACACCTAATATGAAAATCCAAATTTACAGAAAGAGGTAAAGCAAGACTTTCCATTTATTGTACAAAGCAATTCATCCCCAGAGGTCCTCTGGAAAACTTAAACTGCTGGATAATGTTTTACTGAATTTTCTCACAGTATTCTAGCAAAGCCAAACTCCAGAGATACAAGATAAACAGAGCCCTAAATTACAAAGTACAGAAATTCTTAGCAAAATGGCAGTAACAATGGGAGGATTTGGAACAAGTGCCTTTTGTAGGAATGCCAATGCCACTAGAAGTTTTGCTTAGCAAACCAGCCCTGGCACAGGGACCAAGGCCAAAAACACGGACTCCTCCATAACCACTTTCGAGACTCTGGGATTCCTTCCCCTGCAGTCACTCACTCCCTAAACACACACCTCAAAAAATCTCAACAGAATTCCTGAGCATTGTTTGCCCTGCAGTTGCTGGTGGGGCCATCACTGTTGCTGCATTTTGAGATATAGCGTATAATGATAGAAAGACTTGAACCCAAAGTAACTTGCACAGTGAATTTATTCAGTATCTCCAAACTGTCTCATCTGCTAAAACGAGGCAAAGTGGACAATGTACATAAACCACATAGTAAACCACATATCCCAGTGCCTGGCATATTCGAATAATAAAATACAATAACAGCAGCCAATATTCATTGAGTGTTTATTATTTATTAAACACTCTTCACAATTAAGTGTCAGTAAACTTTTTCTGAAAGACCAGACAGCAAATATTGTGCGGTTCTTCAGCCATACAGTAACTACACCAACTACTCAGCTCTGTTGTTGCAGTTTGAAAACAGCCATAGACAATCTGTAAACACACAGCATATCTGCCTTTCAATAAAACTTTATTTATAAAAACAAGAGGCAGGCCAGATTTGGCCTATGGTTCATAGTTTGCCAAACCTTGCTCCATGAGACAGGTACTACTATTATCTCCATTTTATAGATGAGAAAACAGAGGCACAAAGGGATCAACTGACTGCCCGAGGTTCCCTCATGAAGTCTGATTACGAAGCACACAGAGTCAACTATTATATCACAGCAGCTTCTATCACCATCATTATTCATAAATTCTCAGTCCAAATCTAGGTTCTGCTCATTCAAAATACGCTGTCCAGCCAGTCAGTTGCCTCAGAGCTGCCTCAGAGGCTGAAAACCAAACTCAAATCCTCCCTCTTCTTCCCCCTCCAACCCCAAACTGATGTTGCTGGTTGGAGTTCTGTCTGCCTCCTCTGAACCCTCAGTGCCCTTACTCTTTGTATCTCTCAAGTCGATCTCTTTTATTTATTAAATACTTTCTCGCCAACCACTTTGGAGGCCAGGATCATCACATCACAGGGGTTCAACTCCCATATGTCAGTGCATCTGTGAACCTGTTGGTAGTAGGTCTACCAGCTGAGACTCTAGGGGCCAGGGCAGAGGAAGGAGATGCCAGAGCCCACACTCACCAGTCCATGGCAGGCACTGAGGGCTGCCGTCCCAACTCTGGTGCCCTGCTGTAGAACCGTGCCACTGAGATGGCAGAGGGGGGCAGAGGAAGCCATCATCTTAACATGGGAGAGGTTCCCATATCTCTTCTCCATGATGTAGCTATTGGAAAGAAATCCTTGATTGACCGTCAAGTTAAAAAACAGGTCCTTCTCCTCGTGAGAAATTCTGTAGTACACCCAGTCCTCTGAGCCATCCAAATCTCTCTTCCTCCTGCTGCTCGTGATGGGATAGTGCAAGCCATATGACAAAAAATGCCCACTGGCATCTACTCGGACTGGACCCACCACGTGGTATTCTGGCAGGCCCTTGATAAAATGCTCTGAAAGAAAAGGAGAAATGGAAGAACAGTGAGGGAGATTGGTAGTAAAGCAAAGCCACTTTCGTTTGGAACTTGAATGCTAGCTTTTTTTTTTTTTGGAAATGGAGTTTTGCTCTTGTTTCCCAGGCTGGAGTGCAATGGCACGATCCGGGCTCACCGCAACCTCCTCCTCACTGGGTTCAAGCAATTCTCCTGCCTCAGCCTCCTGAGTATCTGGGATTACAGGCATGTGCCACAACACCTGGCTAATTTTGTTTTTTTTTTTTTTTTTTAGTAGAGACAGGATTTCTCCATGTTGCTCAGGTTGGTCTTGAACTCCCGACCTCAGGTGATCCGCCTGCCCTGCTCTTCCAAAGTGCTAGAATTACAGGTGTGAGCTACCATGCCCAGCCACTAGCTTTTTAATTACAAAATCCCACTGTTGACTTGAAGTTTAGAGATCCTTTCCATCACACAAATACTGTTAACATTAAACTCCCAGAACAACTCAAATTTACCTAGTGCTTCCTCCTCAGTGACATGATATCAGGTGTTTTACCAGAGACACATTAAGATGGGAATTAATCCGTGAGGGGTACTGTTAGAAAAGGGGCAAGATCTGAATGAGGAACAGGAATCTTTCAAGTCTAGAGTTCAGAAAGACAAATCACAGAGCTTCACTGTGGATTATAAGGTGCTTCAACACATCAAGAACTTCTTGATAAAGTCAGATTAGAGGGAAAAAAAACACAAAATCATGGAGAACTCATCATATGCACGCTGACAAACCTCATACCAATTACAGCATAAGAGTGTTCCATAATGCAGCAAAGAGTGCATAAAAGAAGCTGGGTTTTAAAAAAGTGTTTACCAAATTAATATGATAAGGAGATATGTCAGGATCTGAGGCATTGGCTCAAAACATAAAAACTGCCACTTTAAAAATGCAAGACTGGAACCCTTGATCCTTCCCCACACAAGAACACATACACATTTTGACCTACTCAAATTTGCCTCCCTACCACTACCTCCTTATTTTGATGTTTGAGAATAACAAAGGATCTACCTAGGAGGGAATTTATCATCACTCTGGATTACACTTCTTCTTTTTTTGTTGTTTTGTTTTGTTTTGTTTTGTATTGTTTTTTGAGACAGATTTTTGCACTTGTTGCCCAGGCTGGAGTGCAATGGCATGATCTCGACTCACCGCAACCTCCGCCTTCCAGGTTCAGGTGATTCTCCTACCTCAGCCTCCTAAGTAGCTGGGATTACAGGTGTGCACCACCATGCCCGGCTAATTTTGTATTTTTCGTAGAGATGGGGTTTCTCCATGTTGGTCAGGCTGGTCTTGAACTCCTGACCTCAGGTGATCCACCCACCTTGGCCTCCCAAAACTATTAACCATTTAGTAAGATAAACTAATATTTTGAAACAAACAAACAAAAAACCTTCTACTTATCACCTCTCAGTTGTAGTTTTGCACTTTGGATCTTGCTTTTACTTTGCTCGTGTAACTTCCCCAACTAGAATGTCTTTTGCATTCTATCAAAATCCTGTTTAAGCATTCAAATCTCAACTCAAATCCTTCCTCTTTATTCTCCTAGTGTCCCTGGCTAAACTTCTCTCTCCTTTCCCTGAACCCTCATGCCCTTACTTTCTGTACCTCCCAGAATGGCTTTATTTTATATTGCCTTTTATTATATGATTTATCCCCAAATCTGCCAGAATCTTGCACATCACAGGTGCTCAGTTCTTATATGTTGATGTATCAGTAAACACTATTGCAGCTGGTTAATTAAAATAACTGGGCTTGATGGGCTACAATTATAAAAGAGTTTTTTTGTTTGTTTGTTTGGTTTTTTTTTTGTTTTTTTTTTTGGTTTTTTTTTTTCCAGGCAACTACCTCCAAACCCTTTGTGGAATCATTCTTCTCTGCCTTGGATGAAATATGGGGCAGAATACAGAGTTTTCACTCTCAGGTACTAACAAATGGTCTCCATTTTTAGGTGTAAAAAGCCCGGACCCATTACTTCCTACTGCAGCAGCTAGGCACAGCAGACCACATGGCAACATGGGCAAATCTTCACAGCAACACTCCACGAAAAACAAGAAATAAAATAAGCTAATGCAGAGCTACTTACATTCATGGAAAATACACACACACTAAAACAATAATACAAAGTTTTCCAGAACACACTGGAACAAGAAATACATATGGAACCCATTAAAATGGTTTTCCATGGGGAAGAATTGGAGTAGGGAGTGGGAACAAAAATGCATAAATATATATAACAAAAAAAGCTTTTTCGCAAATTCATGATACTAGTGTGCCATGAACTGAGGTGTATAACTGACTCAGTCCTCTCTCCTGTCCACTCACTCCCTAAGAAATGTCTGCTCCAATCTGTATTGGAGGACCTTCCAGGTCTAGACCTACCAAAGAGAGAAACTGTGGGTGGGTGAGGCGGATGCAGTCAGCTTCCATAGTATTTCCCTCTGGCTGCTCTTCTCCTCTGCTACTCACAGTGATGCCTCTGGCTCCTCCAGGGCTCGAACAGCGAAGGGAGTTGGGTCAGAAAATATCTTATTCAGCTGGGTATAGTAACGGTGTCATCTAGCAATGGTGCCCTGTATGTAGTCAGTGTCCACATGCTGACTGGCGCCTTCTATTAAGAGAAGCTCTGTGTCCACTGGGAAACCTCTGCTCCCTTCAGGTCCCTCAATGTGGACAATTCCTCCTCCAGCTGGCTGCCCACTGCCTTCCTATCTTCTACCCCTTTACTGAAACCACGTCACCCCTGCAGGGCATCCTCTTTGGCATCTTTTCAAGATGATCCACATCTTGTTGCCTTCCATGAGGTCTAAATCTGGCTCAAAAGAAGCAACCATGATCGCTGACATCCCCTTCACTCCCATCCCACGTCATGAAAATCAGGCCACTCCTGGCCGTGCTTTTGGTCAGCTCTGTCACCAAATGTCATTCCAGGCAGTCTTTTGCCTATCAGTATTTTAAGGCTAAAATGCTAGTGCCCATGCTCCCCAAGCCCATAGCAAACCCTCAAGATCTCTAGCTGTCCCTTCACTTGCCTTGAGTTGGGGCACAGTAGGGGGGATGAATGCCCTGGCACTCTCATCTGTCCTGAAGGAATTCTCTCTCTGAAATCTCTCCACTGGCCTTTAAGCCTCTCCTCACGTGCATACTAGGAGAGTGAAGGAATCAGAATCACACCATCACCCTGCAAGTCCCACACATATGGTCTGAAATTTCTCTTTAAGTGTATGTGGAAAATTAATCTTTTCTTTCTTCTCAGACTTAAGGTCTTGGCAGAAACTGAGACAAAAGAAAGAGTCCCATTTGAATACCCTGTTATACATGCAAGTTTCTGCATCTCCATCAAAACAGAAAAATAAGCATCTTTTCTAGCAGATTATTTTTTCCAAAAGCCAGACTGACTGATTTAAAGGGAGCACGAACGAAAAGCAATCACATTTTAAAACATGAATTCTGAATAAAATGTTATACTCTTCCAAGTCAAATGAGCTATAACCTATTGAAAAACTCTGAAAAGAGTTGAAAATATCTTATTTGTTATACTTAGAAAACAACTATAATAAAATTTAGGTTGTCATGAAACAGAAACCAACAAGTGTGATTCTAAATCAATCTTACATTATTAAAAAGTTACTCTAAATTTTTGTGTGAGTTGATATATCAAAATAATTGTGGTAATTTTTCAGAAATATGGAAACAATAGGATATAATAAAGGGGCAATAAATGTATAATTGCATCTCTACTATAATTGCAATTGTGAGATATATTAATATATATGCATATGAACAAAGCCTTTGAAATAATGGGTAAGAGTACATATTTTTATGATGATGAGATTTGGGGTGTGGTTTTTCCTTTTAAAATTTGTAGTTCCTCCGGGAGGCCGAGTTTACAGTGAGCCGAGATCGTGCCACTGCACTCCAGCCTGGGCAACAGAGTAAGACTCCGTCTCAAAATAAAAAATAAAAAATAATAAAAAAAAATTGTAGTTCCTGTGTTGCTTTTCCCAATTAAAAATAAATAGGTAAGAAGGATTGAATGGGAGAGTGCTGTGCTGGCTTATGACAGAACTATAGAGAATATCCAGTAGACAAGATAAGTAAGGCATGCCAGTGCCCCATGATACAAGGCAGTCTGACAATGATCACTCCCGATGCCCTGCTCACTGTGCCCATTACAGCTGGCTGCATCCTGAGGGAAGAATTCACCTTGGAAGAGGCATCCCTTGACTGAGACTGCTGGAGATGGGGAGGGGGCAGCTAGAGTAGAGCTCGAGGTCTTCTCAGGCAATAGGAAAGCAAAATGAGTTTGGAGTGACAGATCCACAGGAGTGTTAGCAGGAGGCAAGGATGTGAGAAAAAGCAGGCCAGGGTGGAGGCAGCCTTAAATGGCAGGCTTGGTATTCTGCCATCCAGGCCATCCAGCAGAGAAGCAATAGTCCCAGATCTGAGTTAGAAGAACTGCAACGGGAAGAGTGTGGCGGAAGCAAACTTAATCTAGGAGTTATCTCAATTTATCCAGAAAATAACAATTTTTCTCATAAATTTTCTGACTTAAAATATCCCTTATAGAAACTGCCTCTGAAGATACATCTCACAGATTTAAACATGATTTTTGAAAGTATAAAGTGAAAGACTAAAGTTTGCCTATGCCCTAGCACCTATTGCCCAATAAATAAAAGAGCAAACAAATTTATAAATTTTGACCCAGTTGCTTTTGATCTAATGAATTTTTAAGAGAGCCAATTTAAGTTGGCTGTAGAATAATATGATAATAATTATAGTAAGTGTTTCATGAGCACTTGCTATGAGCCAGCTACCATAAGTCTTTCCTCCTTCAATACTCACAACAACCCTGTGATAGAGATTCAGTTGTTATCCCCATTTCATAGATAAGGAAACCGAATGTAGGAAGTCACTATGCCACGTTATATAACATTCCTTGGATTGAAACGCTGTGCCTCCTATTTCAAAACCATGCTCTAGCCACCACACTTCATTAGTAAATAAAGAAAAGCAGCTGCTCTTGGCAAAGAGTATAGCAGGGTTAGAGGTGATAACACTGCTCCCAGGGACGGTGATCTGACCAGACAAGAAGCGCTTCACCTCTTTACACCTCAATTTGCTTAGCAATCAATGGACTTAGTAATTGCCTCTTTGTTGGGCAAAGTGATGAGGGATAAGATCGGTTTTCCCTCCTGATCTAATTGCATAGGAGGCAGCTAAGCCATGGCAGCCCATAGGTGTGGATGGAAATCGGGGGTCACTTACAAAGTGTGGTTTGTGTTGGTGACCCAAGCTCAGCTACCTCAACTATACAATGGGCATAATAATAATAGCATCTACCTCCTAGGCTGGGAGTGAGGCTCCAATGTATTAATATATTTAATAGATTTAAAATTGTGCTTGACAAATAACATTCATTAGCTAAACATTAGCATTGTTGGTTTTAAAGGTAGGAACTTGGCTACCCGGGATCACTGTGGACATAAACATGTGTAACCTCCAAGCAGAGACAGGAGAGAAGCCCACACTCACCATAGCCTCCTCTCCGCAAGCTAAGATTAGTTTGGCAGATTTGTTAGCTATAATCTTGGCCAATGAAAGCAGAACTCAGAGGAGATATGACAGCGATGGAGAAATAGGTGTCAAGAAATAATAATAGCTCCTAATTTTTATCATTTCTATGGTCAAGTACTACATTAAGAGTATGCCGGCTTGGTCTTATCTAATCCTCACAGTTCTCTGAGTAAGCATTATTAACTGTATCCCTCATCTGGGACTATACTTCCATCTCCATAAAGTGACAACAGTGAGGGATGAGGATTTTTTCCTGGGCAATCGGATCCCAGAGCACACACTCCTAAGCTCTGCCCTCACTGTGTGCATCTCCAGGGTCTGTCACCTAGCACAGATGTCAAGGCGGGTTGTCAATAAGGTGTGGGGTTGGGAGGGCCAGAGGCTGAGATACATGAAAATTACATCACAGTTTATACAAGGGTTTGTAGAAATATTATAAGCTCCAAATACTTTGATTTGCCTTGTTTAAAATTATATTTAAGGCCTCAGTCCACAAGTTTCAATGGTACTTCATGAGAAATTCAAGTAAAGGCTACTGGCACAAGCACTTTTGAAAACACAAAACAAGGCATCTTTTTCCCTCAGCTTAGAAAGGACAGAGGTAAGAGAATATTTACCTACTAGTTGTATACAGTTTAGGCTCAGTCTATAGTAGTTATTCTTTTTTTTTTTTTGAGACAGAGTCCTGCTCTGTTGCCCAGGCTGGCATGATCTTGGCGGCCCACTGCAACCTCTGCCTCCAGGGTTAAAGAGATTTTCCTGCCTCAGCCTCCTCAGTAGTTGGGACTACAGGCATGCACCACCACGCCCGGCTGATTTTTGTATTTTTAGTAGAGATGGGGTTTCACTGTGTTGGCCACGCTGGTCTCGAATTCCTGACCTCAGGTTATCCACGCACCTCGGCCTCCCAAAGTGCTGGGATTACAGGCATGAGCCACCACGCCGGCCTATTCTTTTTTCTTTTTAATGGAACGCTTCACAGATTTGCATGTCATCCTTGAGCAGGGGCCACGCTAATCTTCTCTGTATCGGTCCAATATTAGTATATGTGCTTCCAAAGCGAGCATTATCTGTACTTATTCTTTATATTTATTTCTATCTTAGAGACAATTGAATTTCTCAGATCCCTTTCTAAAAAACAAGATTATGAAATTCCTGTAATAGAGGTTTATTTTCATAATTATCTTCCATGTAAGATAACTGTAACCTTGCAACGCTATTTTTATTATAGAAATTTACACATGTTGGAATGTTGTGAAGAACTGTGTTGGGCTCCTCAAAATTGTAAAGTATGCCACAGAAGGTTGGATTTGCTCATAAACTTTATGATAACTAATGTGCTAACTGTATAGATTATTATAATCAACACAAAATATCAAATCTGTGAACTCTCTTTTTACATTAAGAAAATAGCTGAAATCCTTTCCTCCTTGCAGAATTTTTTTAATAGAATACATAAATAATTAAAACTCTTATCTGAAAACACTGCAACATTCCCTCTGTTTCTTGCACAAGCCTGGAGTTCATCTCTAATATGGAATAAAGTGACTGTCCTGTTGATTTCACAGAGATGTCAGGAGCAAAAGAGGTCATGGAACAGACTGGCGCTTTGTAAACAGCATAGGGGTAAACAAACCTAAGGGGATATGATTGGCTGTAGAAGACACGCAGCATGTTGTGTGCAAGATTAATATTTCCCGTTGTTCTGATACTTGGTTGTGAACCAAGAAATCCTGTGTAAGTCACAGCACATTCCTATATCACAACTGAGCAATGTGGAAAGAATACTGGGCAGTTAGTCAAATAGCCTGTTTCTATGTTTCTAGTCCCAGAAAGGACTGGATTTATCTCCATACTCCTTCCAACGACTAAAATCCTGACTTAGCCCAACTCTTAGAACTAGAAGGAACCTAAAAGGTAATGTAGTGTCTGAATCTGTCTCCAAATGTGGAACCCTGTGCAATTCCCTTTACCCTCCTCGTGAAGGGGCATTTATTAGGTGCTCAATCATATATGTTGACTAACTGATGCCCTAGACCTCCCATTCCTTATCCATAAAAGTAAAAATGGGGGCCAGGCATGATGGCTCATTCCTGTAATCGCAGCATTTGGGGAGGCTGAAGTGGGAGAATTGCTTAAGGCCAGGAGTTCAAGATCAGTCTGGACAACATAGCTAGACCTCATCTCTATTAAAAAAAAAAATTAAATATTTCAAAAATAAGAATGGGTGAGATGATCCTGAAGTAATTTGCAAGTTTAAACGTTCAGGATTTGAATGCATTCAAAAATGCTATCAAAGTGGAAATGGAAGTCTAAGGAGATTGGTTATTTGTGAGGCTGTAGGTAGGTCATTTGGAGGGAAAAACCCAGGCCATCCTAATCCCAGATAGCCTTAGAATTTCATTCTCTACTGGTTTGCCCTCATCCACCCCTTCCTCCCTCTTTCTGACTTTCCTTCTTAATTCTAAATGTAAGTCTGCTTAGAAATTTCTCCTTTGCACCAAATGTGGATTATTTGTAAATCCACTAGGGAATTGATTGTGGTTGGTGAAATGCTTTTAAAAACTGAAATTATTGGCTGGGTACAGTAGTTCACACCTGTAATCCCAGCACTTTAAGAGGCCAAGGTGGGCAGATCACCTGAGGTCAGGAGTTGGAGACAGCCTGGCCAACATGGTGAAACCTCGTCTGTACTAAAAATACAAAAATTAGCCGGGCATGGTGGCACACGTCTGTAATCCCAGGTACTTGGTTGGCTGAGGCAGGAGAATCACTTGAACCCGGGAGGCAGAGGTTGCAGTGAGCTGAGATTGCACCACCGCACTCCAGCCTGAGAGACAGAGCAAGACTCGGCCTCGAAAAACAAAAACCTCTAATTATTTTTAAACCTAAATAAATATATATATCACCAATAAGCTTGGAGCACTTTATAGGTTTTTTGAACAGTGGATACTCTCAGCACATAGCTCTAGATAGAGGTGACTAGGGAAAATAATCATATCTCACTTTCCAGAGAGCAAAAACCATGGCCCCGTGGTGTCTGCTTCACACCAAGCTGAATTCCCTTACAAAGAAGATGTGGAGCAGAGCTGAAAACCAACCCAGGAGAATGTGTGTCTTTGAACGAAATCATCTCCAAATGCCCTGGGAAGTGCTTGCAGGCTTTGTTTGTGCTGCCCCAGAAGGGAGACTTTTCACAAAGGAACTGTTTTTCAAAGAACAACAAGCCCTGCTATTTTAAACTTGGGGGTGGGAGATTGTATCTGGACCGTTTACACAAGTGAGTGCTGGCTGACTGACATCTAACCCCAGTGTTTGCTGGCTCCAGCTTTCCAAGTAAAGCAAAGAGAGGGACTTGCTTCTGATACGTCTTGAAGCCACAGCAGATGAGTTGTCCAGCAATATTTGAATTTTACAACATGAGCAGAAAACCCTGCTTAGAAATCCTAAACAAGGACAGGCTGGTGATGTTTATCACCCGAGTGGCCTTGGGAATTAAAGGGATGTCAGAAAGTCATGGAGGACACTTCCCGAGGCTTCAGCACAGTCAGCAAACACAGGACTTAGTGCATGCTAACCCAGTGCTCTGTGTGCGTGTGCATGCGTGTGGGTGCATATGCGTGTGTGTGTGCGTGTGTGTCCCTATTATTGCTACAGGACAGTGCTGCATGATTCTAAGAGTCAGACTACCTGAGCTGAAAACTCTGCTCTACATTAGCTGGCCTCATAAGCTCTCCAAGCTGCAGCATCCTCATCTGTACAGCAGGGACAGCAACACTGGTACCTGCACCCTGGAAGGCTATTGCCAGTGATCGGATGGGCTGACACAGAGTGCCACGCGGGCCATTGCTGCTGCTAGGACTGTTTACCCCCAGAGGTACAATGAACCCCCCACCAAACATGAAGGTGCCTCTGACCCTTCCAAGTCCAATAAACTGCTGACTGTTAGGCTTAAAAGAATAAAACAACAACAACAAATTGTCCACCAGAACGCTTCCAATGCTTCCTACAATAACATGAGTTCAGAAATTCATAAAGAGAAGCAGCCAGCTGTGGTCAGTGAGACAGGACAGGAAAAAGTGAGCCCTTATGGAGGTATAGTTCCCCCAAAAGGACTATTCTTTCAAAAATACAACCCTAAATCTTTCCAGGAAACCAAAACACAGCCAAGCCTGCTCAGTAGGGGGGAAGAATCACATTTCCCCTTTCCTGACCAGAGGTTTAAAACTAACTAGAAACACTGCAATGACGGCCAGTAGCCAGTTAGCACTTAAAAAAAATAATTTTCCATGTTTAGAGTCTGAAAAATAGGGGATCAAAACAGTACAGCATTCAAAGAGGAGACAAAAGAGAAAAAGTTACCAGCTACCTCTTGGGTCTTTTAAAGACTGCAGTGTCATCCCTGTAAAAGAGTGAGGTACTCACCTTTCTATAAGAATGAAGGACTCATCACCTTAAGCACTGAATTCTGAGAAAGCCTAGGCTCCTGAGGTCCCAGCCCAGATTTCCTTACAACGCAGCCAAATGGCTTTTCAGAGTTCAGTTCTGCCGGGTGGGGGAAGGGAAAGGGGAGCAACAAAATTCCCGCAAGTCTTACCACCACTGTTTTAAAAAGAAATAAAGAAGAGTCACTAACCTTGCCTCCTGTCCGGGAAGCGAACCGGGCCTGGCTGAGGCTGTCTCCCATAGCAAAGCGCCCCAAAGTTAAGGAGCTGAGCCACCACGGAAAGGTTTGCAAGCCAGCTCCTCTGGGCACATGGCATGATTCAGATGTTGAGGAGAAGAAAAGTCAAAAAAGTTTTAGCCCTCAGCTCCAGAAATAAAGCGCTCGCCTGTGGCCCAGCAGGAAGATGCAGGGGTGCATGGTCAGGCGCGAGAAGGCAGCGACTGCAAAGCTGCCCGCGATCTCCCTGTGCTTTTTTAAGCAGAAAGGAGCTAGACACCTTTTTCCCCTCCCTCCTCCTAAAAGGGGAGTGATTCAGCTGACAGTGTCCGCTTTCGGCGGGGTGTGGAATGGGCCAGAGCGGGAGGGCGCAGCCCACCCCGGTCCCCACCCCTCCGCCTCCCGCATGCCCCGCGGCCTCGCAGCCCGCCCGCTCGGTGCATCTTCCTCCCGGACTCCCACCCCCGCGCTCCTCCGGCCCCGCCCCGAACGCCAGGCCCAGCTGGCCGAGCCGGCCAAATAGGGGAGACCCGGGAGAGCCGCCCTGGGAGGCACTGGAGGAAGCTGCGAGTGAGAGGCCCCCAGGCCAGCCCCCCGGCGTGCTTAAATACAAGCTCAAAATGAGGAGAACAGAGTTGAGGCAGAGGGGGGCCCCACTCCCTCCATCCTTCCGCGCTCAGCGCTGCCCCCTCCCCTGCTGTTCTCCTCCAAGTTCCTGAACTTTTCCCAACATCGCTCTATCAAGACTCCTCACCCACTCGGACCGCTCTGGGATTCTCTTCCACTGGAAAAACTAATAGGCGATTTTTCTCTTTGCCAAGTCACACAAAGGGAAATGGGCTGCGCTAATCTGCTAATGTGACCTCAGACAAGCCCCCTCAGCTGTGCAATGAGGTGACTGCTGCAAATGCCTGTGGGCCCCTCTGAGTCTGCAGATCTCTGTGCGGCTCTTCTGATTCTAGAACCCCATCTTTCCTAGCCCACCTCCATTCACTCAAAAGGAAACCAGGAATTAAGTCAACCCAGGAAGGTGTTAAGGTATCTCCCCAGTTTCCCTGAACTGGCTACCCTGGAGAGGGCGTCCATTCATTCAGAGGCTCAAGCTTTTACATCGGTCAGAGAATGCCACAATCCAGGACGCTTGCCAGGCATCTTGAGAATTTACTGGGCTAATCCAGCCAAGATTTTTCACCTCTGAGCTGAAACAGGCCTCCTTACTCCATTCAGGAAGAATTCGGCCCCCAATATTGACTTTTCCCTGGCTGCCAGCCAACCACATGTGTTAATCAAGAGTTCTGGGATACCAGCTTACTCAACCTTGTATAGGGACAGAGCCTCCAAGGCAAACTCAGTGGTCTGAAAGCAAGGTGGTCCTCTCAGATGTGGAACACATGGGCACCAAGACTTTGAGAGGTATATGCTAGTTTCCTATTTTTGGTGTTACAAGTTACCATAAATTCAGTGGCTTGAAACAACTCAAATTTCTTATGTGACAGTTCTGATCTGAAACTGGTCTCACTGGGCTAAAATCAAGGAGTTAGCACAGCTGCATTCATTTCTGAAGACTCTAGGGGAGAATCTGTTGTCTTGCCTTTTCCAACTTCTAGAGGCTGCCTGAATTCCTCAGCTCATGGCCCTCTTCCCCCATCAAAGCTAGCAATGGCCCTTTGAGTCTTTCTCACATCACATCACTCTTCTTCCTCCCTTTTCCACTTATAAGGACCCTTGCGATTACATTAGACTCATCCTGGTTAACCAGGACACTCTCCTAATCAGCTGATTAGCAACCTTAATTCCATCTGCAACCTTAAATCCCCTTTACGTGTAACAGAACATGTTTTGTTGTCACAAGCAAGTAAAAGAACTACTCTGAGCCTTTTTTCTGTTACGTAAACATTAGGAAGCAGGATCACAACTGGAGTTAAAAGACATTCAGATAACACAGGCATGATGACCTGCATTTGCAAGGGCATTGAAGAACAACTTTGGGCTAGAATTCTTTTTGCTTCTTTTCTTTTCTTCCTCTTCCCCTTCTTCTTTGCTTCCCTTCACCCTTTCCTTGTTTCTCTCTCCTCCTTGTACTCTTCTGTCACTCTTCTTCTTCCACCTTTTTTTCTCCTGCTGCTCCTTTTAATAGCAAGCAAGATCTTGTCCAAAGGGCAAGATCACTCCTAGCTCCCAGGTCCTGGAGAAGAGATTTGTCTCTCAGGCAGAAACCTGAAGAACTCTGGAGAACTGCTGAGTTCCACCAATATCAGGGATGATACACTGAACACTCTGGCTTCACAGTTTAGCCTCTTCAACTCTAATGGCATTTCCCTTATTCTTTCTCCCATCTACTCTCAAGACCATAACCAGGAATATCTATTATCCATAAGTCAACCAAGACTGAAATATTAAAATTATAAAATCCCACCAACACTTTGTATTCTGCCAGCCCTTCCAAACCTTTATACCCAGTACCTCGGATCTTCAGCCTAGTAGGAACTTCTAGTTCCTTGATCTCCCCATCTTTGGTTTTCTAATAATCAGCATCTCTCTGGACTCACCACCTTTTTTGCCCAGTCATACCCTTTGATCCACCTCCTTAAACCAGTACATTCAACATCTCATATCTTCCTCATCAAAATCTAACTCTGTTTTACCCTAGCTGCTGATTTTCTCTGCTCTCTGTTTCCAAGTGCTGTTGAAAAAACTCACATAATTGCATCTAATTGTGCAACTATCAATTCATGTCTCCAACTTTAGCACGTTCTCAACATGACTTAGCACAAATATACATTCTGCTACTATTCTAACGTTCCTCCTACTCTTTCCAGAATTTACAAAAATCTCTCCAAAGCTTGGAGTTACCTCAGCGTAGAGAGACTTAATCCTCCTCAACTTTGCTTCTGCTTAATGAGAAAAGGTAACAAATCCCCTTGGTGACCAAGGTTGGTAGCAATAAAAAAGCCAACTACCTCTCCTGCCCACTGTAGATAGCAGAACTGTGAATCACTGCATAGTATCCAAACTACCTCTGAGCTTATACAAACATGCTGCCCTTGAGGAAACACTACAAAACCATGCAAGATTCCAGAGTTGAATGATAGCTAAGAATAGCAAGCATTTATTACATGCTGACTATATGCTTGGCTCTGTGCTAAAGACTATATGGGTATTGCTTTACTTAAACTTCATAAAAAACTTATTATGTGGGTACCATTAGTATCTTCATTTTATAGATGAGGAAACAGACACTGAAAGGTTAAGTAACTTGCCTAGGATTAAGTGGCTGTGAAAGTAAAATCAGGATGAAGCACTAAAGTTCAGAGAAGTTAAAAGATGTAGCAAAACCACTAAGTCAATTCAAATATAGGTCTGTTTTACTTCAGGCCCCTAGTAATGTCCTCATCCACAAAGAGTGAAGAGGATTAGAACACTGACATATAGACATCATCAGAATGCCTTGGGTGGTAGTTTAGTTCATTATAGTATTTTTCCATGTAAAAATGCAATTTGTGACCCAAGATCTAAGATACCTCACAAAGAGCTCCCTCTGTTTCATTAGCAAATAAGGCATAAAAAATGTTCATACTTTCCTAATAAACCGTTAGGATCACAAGGGATGGCTGAAGTTCAAGGAAAATTAGCTTAATGCATCTTTCGGAGCTGTCATTAGCATTGGAAAGACAAAAAATAAATTGACAGTGGCCCAAAAAACCCTGAGTTGGACCTAAGAATCACAAATGAATATGCCACAAAAAGAGACTTTACATCTGTTAATTCTGCCTAAACACCACAATCATCATCTCACAGCAATAATCATTGTGTTGAACATTACAGTTTTTAAGGTGTTTCTCCCAAGCAGGTCAAAGGGTAGAAGGGAGAAAAATCTTCATCTGACGTTTTCAAGAGTAGTTAGACCTTAATTCCACCTGAAACTCAAAAAGTAGTGACTTCAAACATCATATTTAAATACTGTTGCCACATGTATTATTTTCTTTTAAATCTTTCTGCAACCAGATCTCACAAGAATTCTCTCAAGTTACTGAGACCACGAAAGTCTCTTTTTTTTAACTCCACTTCCAACTTTGCTGTAAGTTTGAGATTGCTTCTAAATTTTATTAAACTATCAAATGTCTTAGTCTGTTCTCATTCTTTATAACAATTGAAAGCTTGGTAGAGATGCTGTAGAATTTTTTGGAAATTAGGGAGGCCTATAATGACACATTTATCTATTATATTCTGGAACTTAGCCAACTAAATGCCAATGTATGGTAGTTTTTGGTGCAACTGGGCAAAAGTGTCCAAGCTGATAGCTGTGGCTCTTACCATTATCATACTGGTGTTATATTGGTCCTGAACCACATGGACACTATCCCTTTTCTTTCATTCAACCTTAAAGATTAAATCTGAGTTGAAGAATAGCGTGCCCATTTTTTCCCATAGACAGGAAGAAATTAAGGATGAAATGTATCAGGGACAATTTCAGTACTACCCATTTAGCAAAAAGAAAATACTCTATTTATTCAACAAATATTATTGACTGTCTACTATGTCTAGGCACTGGGAATGGAGCAGTGAATAAAATAGAGTCTCTTTTCTCATACATGCATGCATACACTCTAGTGTGAGCTTGTGGGAGGTAGAAAATAAGCAAGTAAATATAGAATATGTGCTACAGTGATAAATGCAATGGATAACAATAAGCAGGCTAAGGAGAACAGGGAGTGATTGAGGGGGGTAGGTTACAATTTTATATGAGGGGGTCAAGAGTGGTCTCTCTAATAAGATGATATTAGCAGCAACCTGAAGCAAGTAAGAACCTGAGCAAAATAGATATCTAGGAGAAGAATATTCCAGGCTGAGAAAACAGTAATAGAAAAGACCTTCCATTGGGAATATGTAGAAACATGCTTAGAGAGCCCAAGAAAAGCAAGGAGTTTGGCATGGCTGGAGTGTGTGGACAAGAGTAGAATGATGGTAGAAGTGGGGAGGTTGTGTATGTTCTTAGAGACCATAGTGAGAACTCTGAAACCCTGAGGAAGTTAAGAAGCACTGGGGATTCTGAATAGAGGAGTGACAAGAACTGACTTAGGAGTTAAAAGGATCTCTTTGGGTGCTGGGTTGAGAATGACTGCAGAGAGATAAACGCAGATGCACAGAGAGCAGTTAGGAGGTTGTTGGATTAACCCAAGTAAGAGGAAATGGTGGATTAGATCAAGTGGTAGCAAAAGACAGGGAGAATTAATCAGATTCTGGATTTATTCTGAAGGTAGACCCAACAGGATTTTCTGATTATTTGGATGTGTGGCACGAGGGAAAGCAAGAAATCACACATGACTAAAAGGTTTAGCATTGCCAGTAATTAAGATGGGGAAGATGGGAGGTTTGAGACATGTTTAGATGTCTCTTAGATATCCAAATGGAAATGTCAAGTAGATTGTTGGATATACGAGACTGAGTTTCACATAGAAGTCCAGGTTGGAAGTATCCATTTGGAAGTCATAGTAGTTACATGGATGAGAGTACCTGTGAGTGAATTCAGTAGACAAGAAAGTAGACATGGGGACTAAACTCTGAGGTACTGCAATATTTAGAATTACAGGAAATAAAGAGAAATCACTAAAGACCAAGGAGTGAGCAATGAGGCAAGAGGAGACCCAAGACAGCATATTATCTTTGAAATCAAGTGAGAAAGGAGCCGTTATTCAATAGCTCAAACTGGAGTAAGAGCTGGAAAGGAGTCCTGGCTCTTCATACTAAGCTGCATGGAAGACAAAAATGGAAGAGTGACACCAAAGACTGAGTCTGATCAGTTAAGAAAAATAACTCCACATACCAATAAATGCAGTGTGATCGACGTCCTTGAAATCTGTCCAGATTAGAAATTCCCTCATGGAGAGTGTTGTCAGGAAGAGATGAGTGTACCAAGGAACATCCACAGTCCTAGTTTACCCCATTCTTTATGTTCTCTTAACTCACTGAGTTCAACCAGAAGCCTAAGAGAGCCTGGAGTGTGCCTCTCCTACTCAGAGCGGGAGACCAGCTGAGGGTCAGGGAGTTCTACTGTGATCTGAGAGGGCCACTGCCTCTATTTTTCACTGCTCTTTGGTATCCTCCTGGGATCACCGAGAGGAAGACATCAGCTGTGCCCTCAAGAAAGTTTGAAGTGAGTAAATGAGATTAGTTCAGGTAGCAGTAACAATATACAGTCATGTGTCACTTAATGGAGATGCTCTATGTAAAATGTGTCTGTAAGTTATTTTCATCATTGACAATGATGAAGTCACCTAACAACTTATAGAAACCTAGATGGTATAGTCTACTGCACACCTGGGATACATGATATGAACTATGACTCTTAGTCTACAAACCTATATAGCATGTTACTGTACTGAATACTGTAAGCAATTGTAACACAATGGGAAGTATTTGTGTATCTGAACATATCTAAATATAGAAAAAGTACAGTTAAAATACAGTATAAAAGATAGAATGTGGCACACCATTATAGAGCAACTCCATTATAATCTAAGGAGACCAGTCATATATGCAGTCCATTGTTGACCAAGTTGTCGTTATCAGTGAATAACTGTATCATACTGGTACCCACTCTTTTTTTTCAGCTTCATTGAGGTATAATTTAACATAGGATAAGCCGAACATATTTAAAGTGCACACTTTTATAAATATTGAGATGAATATACCTGTTAAATAATCATCACAATAAATTTTGACATATATGTACCAGAAACTTTCTCCTGCCCCTTTGTAATCCCATTCTCCCATGTCTCACCAACCACAGATAGCCACTGTTCTGTTGTCTGTTACTGTAGATGGGTTTTCATTTTCTACAATTTTATGTAGAGTCTACAGTATGCACTCACTTTTGTCTGCCTTCTTTAACTTGGCATACTCACTTGAGATCTGTGGATATTGTGTGCCAATACATTGGTCCTTTTTATTTCTGAGTTGTATTCTATTGTATAGATATATCACAATGGGTCTATTCATTCACCTCCTCACTAAATATCTATTGACCATTAGAAAAATTATGGAGGGAAAACGTGGTCAAGGACACCTAGCCTAGAAGCAAGCAGATGCATGCATACCACTATTCATGTTAAAGATCTTTTCCTGGAGTTGAGGAAGCAAGGACCCCAAGTGCTCCAACAACTGCATGTCAATGGACAGTACATATTTCTCCTCAAGATAAAATGATTTTGGGCCAGATGCAGTGACTCACATCTGTCATTCCAGCACTTTGGGAGGCTGAAACAGAAGGATCACTTAAGCCCAGGAGTTCAAGATCAGGCTGGGCAACATAGGGAGACCCCTTCTCTACCAAAAAAAAAAAAAAAATAGCTGGGCATGGTTGTGCATGCCTGTAGTCCCAACTACTCAGGAGGCTGAGGTGGGAGAATTTCTTGAGCCTGGGAGTTAGAGGCTGAAGTGAGCCATGATCGCACCACTACACTCTAGCCTGAGCAATAGAGCGAGAACTTTTCTCAAAAAAAAAAAAGGTGACTTTAAAAGATACACATTAACAAAAAATCAGCTTTGAAGTTAAACCTAGATTAAGATTAAAGATTTCCTATGGTTTTGTTGAGTCTCAATACAGCTTGACCACACTGCTAGAGAGAAGTGTAGGTTATCTCCACAGCCACAGATGAGCATTTGCAGCACTTTGATTCTTTGGAGCACAGAAATGCAGACTCTGCTCTCAGGCATTCCTGCCTCTGCTAACGCCTTTATCCATCACTGCCATGCTCTAAAAATGGTGCCCATCTTGCCAGGGGCAGGGTAGGGAGGCCTCCTTTGCTACTTTATAGTCCCTCTGTGTGTTACAGATAACACTTGACATACTGTGAGTTACTTGTTTTGCTCTCACCTGAAATCTGCACCAAGTCTCTTCGGAGGCCTCCAAGATCAAAGGGTTGTACTGATTTAGCTACTACTTCCTAGAGTAAAGTAGTAGCCAGAATCAGATTAAGGTGTTGTGATTCAGCTTTTGAAGGCAAGAGTGGTGATATATCTCTGAATAGCCTGATGCAGTCTTTGAAAGCTAGTGTGAGAAAATCAGGTACACTGGTTATGTTGATTGAATACACAGGTTACTATGTAAGGCAGAGGGAAGTCTGTGAAGAACTCACAAAAACGAGTGATGCCACCAAGTAGGGAATTAGAAAGCAGGCAACTGAGCTGCGTTTCATACAGTGAGATTCGAGTTCATTAGATGCTGATGATTGATTTTCTACTTGATTATAAACGGTAGGTGCAGAGAATATGCTTTATTCATTTCTGCATTTCCCTCAAAGATGAGCCTGGTGAATAAATACTTGATTAGAGTATGGGTGTGTGGGAGGATGAACTAGTGGGGAACATTCTGGGGAAGGATCTGGGCTTTGAGGCCCACAGAAATGTCTCCCTATTAAAAAGAGTTGGTTTCCTCGCTGAACTCCCACCTGACCTGGGGAAAGAGATTCTGGAGTTAGTGTTAGACTATTCTCTCCTCTCTTTTCCTTCAGGAATAAACTACTTTGCAGATTTTCTCAAAGCAAAATATCTATTTAAATCATCAGTCACTTAAGCAAGAAGAGGTTTGTGAATATTGACCTAAGGGCCACTTGTTATAACAGACACCTCCACAGAAGGTGAGGCATGGCTGCTGCTCAGGAGCTTTTGCACTGTTCTGCACACGCCCTCTCTGTCATTTCTACATGTGGTTCTGGCTCCAGCATCTAAGAGTATCGATGAGAAAAAGGAGCCAATGGCCGGGGCTCTGCTGGTAAGGATGTGGCCACTGAGACCCAAGATCACATGCACTAGCAGTTGTTTTGGGGGAAAGGGTACAATATCTATAATTTACTTCAAAATATTTCATTATCAATTATTCTTGTGTGTTACTTTTGCACCCTAGAAAAAAGAGGCCAGGTATAATGGGTCGCACCTGTAATCCCAGCACTTTGAGAGGCCAAGGTGGGCAGATCACTTGAACCCAGGAGTTTGAAACCAGCCTGGGCAACATAGCAAAACCCCATTTCTACAAAAAATACAAAATTAGCCAGGCTTACTACAGGCTCACAGTCCCAGCTACTTGGGAGGCTGAGATCAGAGGATGACTTGAGCCTGGGGAAGTTGAAGCTGCAGTGAGCCATGATCACACCACGACACTTCAGCCTGGGCAACAGAGTAAGATCCTGTCTCAAAATATAAATAAATAAATATTTTTAAAAAGAATATGGGCTGGGTGTGGTGGCTCATGCCTGTAATCCCAACACTTTGGGAGGCCAAGGCAGGAGGATCATCTGCACTCAGGAGTTTGAGACCAGCCTGGACAACATAGTAAGACCTTGTCTCTACTAAAAAAATTAAAAAATTTAAAAAAAGAATATGAACCCAGAGAATGGTGAAGTAATATGTAATCAAAAGTTTATGCTACAAGTTAGCAACTGAAAAATATTTCAACTATCTTTATCTCTGATAAGTACCAGATGTTTCTTAACTAGAATGTTTAAGACATCTGGCTTGACTGAGATATTGTAGAGACAATCCCCAAACTTGTATAAACAGGATATTAAAAAAAGGGATTTCTGCTTTTAATCTTAATGGAGTAATAGGGATGCAATTTGCCCTTTCAACTCAACCAAGTAGAAAATAACGGGTAAAATACATAAAACTACTTGTTTCAGACATTGGGCAACAAGCAGCATGGGGCAGTAATCCCTGAGAAAAGGCAAACAAGTGATGTGAGACCAACAATTAAGCAGCTTACTTTCTAGAGAGACTTTCCAGGTTGTAGTGTTGGGAGGGAAGGGTAGAGTGCCAAACAGCTCTATGGTATCTCTGAATTGAGGAGTCAGCTAAGAACTGGAGGAGGCCAAAGTGGCTAGAAGTTTGCACAGGAAACTGCAGAAAAGGAAGGACTTGTCCAGAGAGGAGAGAGCTACACATAGAAAGAGTCCCAGAAATGTCTAGAGGGCTCCCTTCAAGCCTTTAACTGAGTATTGCTCACCCTCTGCATGTGCAGAAACTACCTGAGGCAGGAGGGAAAAAAAGGAAACACTAGAAAGCTTCAGGTGGAATAATGCCAGTGATTATATAGGGCCAGAAATAATTTGTTGTCCCACCAGTCAAACTGGAAAAAACCTTGTAATACACAGGCCTCAGAATATTGCTTCAGTAATGAGGCAAAATTAGACCTGGAATAAAAGTTGCTCTGGTCTCACATTTTACAAAAGCAAATCTTCAAAGGACCAAACTTTATAAGTAATTGAAATGTGACCCAAAGTGCAAGAACCAAGAGCAAGAATATTTAAAGAAATTTTTTAAATATCCAGCATCCACAAGGTAAAATTTACCATGTGTCATTCAATAAAAATAATTGCCAGACATAAAAAGCGGAAAAAATACAGTTCAAAATAAGGAGAAAAGCCAAACAACAGAAACAGACCCAGAAATGACAATGATAAGCATTAGTAGATAAAGATATTTTTAGAGTTGTAACAATTGTATTTTATAAGTTTAAGAAAGTAGAAGAGCATGTTGAGGAAAGACATGAGAGATAGGAAAAAGACCCAATTCCAAACTTCTGGGGATGAAGAAAACAAAATCTGAGATGAAAACTGCACTGCTTAATATTACACTGGTATTAATAGTTGATTAGACACTGCAGAAGAAAATATTAGTAAATTTGAAGACATAGAAACTACCCAAAGTGAAATACACAAGGAAAAAGACTGACAAAAAAAACTGCATCAAGGAGCTATGGAACAACTCCAAGAATCCTAATTTGTATGTAATTGAAGTCCACAAAAGGGTTAAGGGGGAACAAAGGCTATTTGGAGAAATAATGATCAAAATTTTTCAAAAACTGAAGAAGGCTATAAACCCACATATCCAAGAAGTTTAATGAATCTCATGCACAAGAATCAAAGAAAACTACTGCAAAACAGCATCACAATCCAATTGCTCAAAACCAGTGATAAATGGAAAATCTTAAAAGCAGCCAGAAAAATAAGACATATTACATGTAGAACAAAAACAAAAGAATGAAGGAAACTTTTCACTTAAAATGTTGCAAGCCAGAAAACAGTGGAGCAACAGCTCTGAGGTATTAAAAGAAAAAAAAAAAAAGCTAAAATTCTATAATCAGTAAAAAAAACTTTCAGACTCTAAGATGAAATACTTTCTCTCAGACACACAAAAGCCAAAATAATTCAAACAAAAACAGACTTAGACATACATTGTTGTCTGCACAGAGTCTTGTGTCGTGAACCATCTGCAGGTCTCTCAACCGTGAATACCAGCACCTGTTCCGGTGGAGGTGGCAGGGGAGTGAAATGGACTCTGTGAGGGTCCTTAGTTTTGGTTGTCTAATCCACTATTTTTGTGCTAGTTGCCTCCTGCCAGGAGGTGGTGCTTTCTAGAAAGCATCAGCTGTAGCAGTGTGGAGAGGGAACAGTGGTGGATGGGGCCCTAGAACTCCCAAGAGTATATGCCCTTTGTCTTCAGTTACCAGGGTGGGTAGGGAAGGGCCATTGGGTGAGTCAGGGCTAGGTGTGTCTGAGCTTAGACTCTCCTTGGGCAGGTCTTGCTGTGGCTCCTGTGGGGGATGGGGTGAGGTTTCCAGGTCAATGGAGTTATGTTCCTAGGAGGATTATGGCTGCCTCTACTATGTCGTGCAGGTTGCCAGAGAAGTGGGGGAAAGCCAGCAGTCATAGATCTCACCCAGCTCCCATGCAAACCGAAGGGCCTGTCTCACTCCCACCATGCCCCACCTACCCGTGACAGCACCGAGTCTGTTTCCAGGCAGTGGGTGAGCAGGGGTGAGAACTTGCCCCAGGCTACCCACCTCTCAGCTGCAAAAGCAAGTATGGCTTTCCTTCTTCCCCAGCCTGTGGAGTCTGCCCTCCCCTGAGTTCTGGCCAAGAGGCTTCTCGATCAGTTCAAATTGTTACAAAGTTCAGCTGGAGATTTCCTTTTCCCTGTGGCCTTTTCCCAGTGCCTCAGGCCACCCTCCCAAAGGACCCCTGTGAGGCCAGGCAGAAATGGCTTGCTAGGGGACCCACCAAATTCACAGGGCTTTCCCTGCTGCTTCCTCTACCCCTGTATTTCACTTGGCTTTCTCAATTGACTCAGCTCCAGGTGAGGTCAGAATCTTCTCCGGTAATCTAGACCTTCAGTTTCCCCAGTGCAGGTGTGTGTTTGGGGGCAGATGATCTCCCTTTCCCACTTCCACAGTTTAGGCACTCACAGTATTTGGGGTGTCTCCCAGGTCCTGCAGAAGCAATCTGCTTCCTTCAGAGGGTCTGTGGGTCCTCTCAGGTTTTCTGATTTATTCCTGCAGTCATTCTGGAGGAAAAAATCACATTGGGATCCTTCACATGCTACTCTGTCTGTGCAAGTCCAGGCTGCAATATAGTCTTGCCTCCCATCTGCCATGATCCAGATTTACACATACATTGTTAATTGACTTTAATAAATAGTACCAAGTCAATTCAGTGGATGAAATAATCACTTCAATAAATGGTGCTGGAACAACTGGGTAATTATACACAAAAATTTACCTTGATCTTCAATTCACACCAAATACAAATATTAATTTAAAAAGGATTATAAGGCTGGCCACGGTGGCTCACACCTGTAATCCCAGCACTTTGGGAGGCTGAGGCAGGCAGATCACCTGAGGTCAGGAGTTCAAGACCAGCATGGTCAACAAGGCGAAACCTCATCTCTACTAAAAATACAAAAATTATCTGGGCATGGCGGAAGGTGCCTATAATACCAGCTACTTGGAAGGCTGAGGCAGGAGAATCACTTGAACCCAGGAAGCAGAGGTTGCAGTTAGCTGAGATTAAGCCATTGCACTCTAGCCTGGGCAACAAGAGTAAAACTCCATCTCAAAAAAAAAAAAAAAAAAAACAACGGAGGGGAGGGGAGATTACATTTATTTTTCAAGAAAAGTTTAAGAATTAAATATATGCAACATTAGAATAAACTTTAGCAGAAATTCTGAGTGAGCTTGGGTTTGGAAAATATTTTTAAAATATAGCCCAAAAGCTTTCGTAGTTTCTAAAGATAAGTAAGAAAAAAATATATATGCTAAAAGCACAAACTCTAAAAAAAAAATAAATTACTTGGACTTCATCAAAATTAAAAACTTTTTCTCTTGAAAAGACACTGCTATGAAAATGAAAAGGTGATGGCCGGGCATGGTGGTTCACACCTGTAATTCCAGCACTTTGGGAGGCCGAGGCAGGTGGATCATGGGGTCAGGAGTTTGAGACCAGCCTGACCAACATGGTGAAACCCTGTCTCTACTAAAAATACAAAAATTAGCCAGGTGTGGTGGTGCATGCCTATAATCTCAGCTACTCAGGAGGCTGAGGCAGGAGAATCGCTTAAACCCAGGAGGTGGAGTTTGCAGTGAGCCTTGATTGTGCCACTGCACTCCAGCCTGGGCAATGGAGCAAGACTCCTTCTCAAAAAAATAAAAGAAAAAAAGAAAGAAAGGGAAGGGGAGGGGAGGGGAGGGAAAAGGTGAATCAAGGACTAGAAAAAACTATTTGCAAAACATGTATCTTAAAAATTATATAAATCGTTAATATGTAAAGATCTCTCACCTCTAAATGAATAAAACACAACCAATAAAAATGGACAAAATATTTAAATGGACACTTCACCACAAAAGATTTATAGATGCCAAATAAACACATGAAAAGACTGTTAACATCATTAGTCATTAGGGAAATGCAAATTAAAACCACAATGAGATATCATTATGCAGCTGAAAGGCTAAAACTTAAGAGGCTGACCATACCAAGTATGCATATCTTGATATGTAGGAACTGAACTCTCATACACTGCTTGTAGGAATGTAAATGGTATAACTACTTTTGAAAATACTTTGGCAGTTTCTTAAAAAGTTAAATATACACCTACCATATGACCTAACCATTCTACTCTTTGGTATTTACCCAAGAGAAATGACCGCATATATCCACACAAAGATTTATATACAAATGTTTATAACAGTTTCATTTGTAGTAGCCCAAAACTGGCAACAATTCAAAGCTATCAACAGTTGAAAGAATAAACTGTGATATAGCCTTATTGTGGAAAAACACTCAACAATAAAAAGGAGTAAACTATGTTGCAGGAAGTCCGGGACCCCGAACGCAGGAACCAGCTAGAGCCGAGGCAGAGGAACAAATATTATGAAGATTTCATGGACATTTATCACTTCCCTAATAATACTCTTATAATTTCTTAAACCTGTCTTACTTTAAACTCTTGATCCTGTTATCTTCGTAAGCTGAGGATGTACATCACCTCAGGACACTGTGATGATTGCGTTAACTGTACAAATTGATTATAAAACATCTGTGTTTGAACAATATGAAATCTGACTGTAAAACGTGTGTTTGAACAATATGAAATCAGTGCACCTTGAAAACGAACAGAATAACAGTGATTTTAGGGAACAAGGGAAGACAACCATAAGGTCTGACTGCCTGCGGGGTTGGGCAAAAAGAGCCATATTTTTCTTCTTGCAGAGAGCCTATAAATGGACGTGCAAGTAGGAGAGATATCGCTAAATTCTTTTCCTAGCAAGGAATGTTGATATTTAATACTCTGGGAAAAGAATTGCTTTCCTTGGGGGAGGTCTATAAACGGCTGCTCTGGGAGTGTCTGTCTTGTGTGGTTAAGACTGAAATATGCCCTGGTCTCCTGCAGTACCCTCAGGCTTATTAGGGTGGGGGAAAAACCACTCCCCGGTAAATTTGAGATCAGACTGGTTCTCTGCTCTTGAACCCTGTTTTCTGTTGTTTAAGATGTTTATCAAGACAATACGTGCAGAGCTGAACATAGACCCTCATCAGTAATTCTAATTTTGCGCTTTGCCTTTTGATCTTTGCTTTTGTCCTTGCGCTATTTCCTCAGAAGCATGTGATCTTTGTGACCTACTCCCTGTTGGTACACCCTCTCCCCTTTTGAAATCCCTAATAAAAACTTGCTGGTTTTGCGGCTCAGGTGGTCGTCATGGACCTACCAATATGTGATGTCACCCCCGGCGGCCAAGCTGTAAAATTCCTCTCTTTGTACTCTTTCTCTTTATTTTTCAGTCTGGGTGACACTTAGGGAAAATAGAAAAAACTTACATTGAAATATTGGGGGCAGGTTCCCCCAATAAAACTACACTCAGTAGTATGGATAAATTGCAAAATAATTATGCTCAGTGAAAAAAAAAGCTAGATTTTTTTCTAAAGTACAAAACAAGGATACATACGATTCTATTTTTATGAAATTCTAGGTTAAGCAAACTATAGTGACAGAGGCAAATCAGAATGAGTGAGTCTGAAAGACAGACAGATTACAAAGAGGCAAGAAAAAACTTCGGGCATGTTGGAATCAAGTGTTATACTTCAAGCATGTTGCACTTTATTATGTGTGAATTATATTGCAGTTTTAAACATGCTTTTAGAATCTAGAAAGTAGTCCCTCTTTGTAAGTGGCACCATTGACCTGATTGATAAATAGATTTATGTCAAGTCTGTGGTTTTAGAATGTTTTTACTGTTTGACTGAAGCTACATCACTAGCCATATCTTGCTGATAAAACATTGTTGCATTTTCCTGAGGTAAATCCTTGATACTAGATGCTAGCTAGATTCACCAAGCCTGCAGAAGAATGGTTTTGGTTTGCATTTCCCTAATGATTCATGATATTGAGCATTTTCTCAAGCACCTGATGGCCAGTTGTATGTCTTCTTTTGAGAAATGCTTATTCAGGTCTCAATTACCATATGATCCAGCAATCTTATTACTGGATATATATCCAAAGGAAATGGAATCCGTATGTCAAAGAGATATCTGCACTCCAATGTTTATTGGAGCACTATTCACAATAGCCAAAATATGGAATCACCCTAAGTGTCTAACAACAGATAAATGGATAAAGAAAATGTGGTAGATATACGCAATGGAATACTATTTGGCCATAAAAAAGAATGAAATTCTGCCATTTGGTACAACATGGATGAACCTGGAGGATATTGTGTTAAATGAAATAAGCCAGACCAAAAAGACAAATATCATATGATCTCATTCATATGTGGAATCTAAAAAAGTTGATCTCATAATAGTAGAGAGTACAATGGTGGTTACCAGAGACTAGGGTGGTTGGGGGAGGAGCGGATGGGAAATGTTGATCAAAGGATACATAACTACAGTTAGATATAAGGAATAAATTTCAAGAGGTCTTCTGTATGGCAAGGTTTTTATACTTAATGGTGATATACTATATTCTTAAAAGAGAGTAGATGTTATATGCTTTTTCCACAAAAATGATAACTATAGGAGGTAATACATTTGTTAATTATCTAGATTTAACCATTCCACAATGTATATATACTTCAAAACATCATATTGTATACAATAAAAGCATAAAATGCTGTCGATTTTTTAAACTTTTTAAAAAAATACAAAATAAAAGAACTTAGAAGCTATACATAAAAAGTCAGCCTAAGTTAGTTTGCAATGATGGAGGTGGGAAGAGTGTAGGGGCTGATATTCAAAAGCATTCCTCAATGACTTTGTAGTGGTTAGACCTATGTGCAAATGCTACTGTCGTTCCTCTGATCATTGTAAACAAGCAAGAAAAAGAGTGGTAATGTCAGCTCTTGGACTGAATACGAGGCCACTAGAAGCAGCTAGGATTGGATGTTCCCAGTCCATTTCTGATTGTGTCACACATGGGCCTAGGAGGTAACAGGGAGTTAAAATTCCTTGTGTCATTCTTAAAAGACAACAGAAGATCTAGGGCAATGCATTTTAACCTCAGCTGCATATTAGAATAACCTGTGAAACTTTGCAAAAATAACATCTGGATCTTAATCCAGACCTACAAAATCTGAATTCCTAGGGGGAGGAACCGAGAGTTTGGAATGTTTTTAAGCTCCTCAAGAGATTCTAAGACAGCTATGAAAACAATGCATCAACAGTTTATTCTGTGGCAGAATAATCAATTGGAAAAATTTTACTGTATTTTGTTTTTACTTTCATGGATATTCATAACCTTAGAAGGCGAAAGCAGCCAATGCACATACCTGCTCCCCTCCCCCTAATCCCTCACATCCTTACATCCTTATTTTCTTTTGCCTGAACTTTATTTAAGGGGAAGAGTAATAACCAATTCCTCCCTTCCTATATTCCTTCCTTCTTTCTCAATGTGTTTTAGAGTGGGAGTTGGGGAAAGGCTACCTCTTTGTTTTAGAACAGTGATTCTCAAACTTCAATATATCAAAATCACCTGGTAGTCTTGTGAAAACCTAGATTGCTGGGTCCCGGCCCCAGAGTTTCTGATTCAGTAGATATCAGGTATGGCCAGAGTATGCATGTCTACAAACTCCCAGGTGATGTTGATGCTGCCTGCTGGGAGCACATTTTGACAACCACTATTTTAGAGGTTCTGCCATGATTAGGTTGTATTATTTCTCAACGGTCGAATGGACGAGTTCAATAATTTAAAAAGGAAGTGCTAAAGTCCAAAAGGTCATGAACTTTAGAGACTGGGATAGGAGAGAGGTTGGAGACTTAGAAGAGTTCAAAGCTTGCCTCCGTGCTTTCCTGAGTGAGAAGGCCTGCACGGGTGTCAATAGCAAGTGGGCATATGGGGTCATCCTGTTGAGACACTCGACAGAGATGACCAGGGCTGAGCTCAGCATAAAAAGAAGCTGCCAGTGGAGCTGCAGAATTTGTTAGGCACTCAGACATGACATGGCAACAACATCAGCAGTGTGCCTGCAGGGCACCGGAACCAGGATCCTCTCTCTCTTTCCAACTGCATGAGCCCTAGGGTACAGCTGAAGAGGAAGAGGCTACCAGAGATGATTGGTCTGATGTCTCTCCAACTTAGTTAGAGGAGCCTTAACCCAGCCTGAATTTAATTTAGAAAAATAATGAAATGTGATAAATATTGCCCTCTGAACGCTGTGGAGCAGTCAAGACCAGTTTTAATATCTTCTGCTGAAACAAAGCCCCATTAACTCTTTGACTAGGAAGCATGGTTGTTACCCTGATTGCAGAGGCCCCCTCAGCTGGGGCAAAGTTCAGGGGGGATATTGCTTCCCACACACGGAGAATGGCAATTGCCAGGTTGTGAGCATGTGGAATACGGAGAGGACCAGAGAAGCATTTGAAACGGAGCTCACAGATTACTGCAGGGTATTCTAACTGTAAATGCATTCTCTTTGTTAAATGGATGTTAGTTGTTAGGAAAGAAATGGAATTAATGTCTCATTCATAGGTTCAAGCTGCATATGATTTTCTAGGCATATGTCAGGAGCTGGGTATACAAAGGTGCATTAGATATGACTACAGTTCTCAAGAGGTATTCAGTTTAGAGAAGGGGTGGTCATTTGTTATTGTGTTTGTCTAAGGCAGTAAAAGGTACTATAATAAATATTCATGCAAAGTTCTATGGCAGCACAAAAAGAGTAATTCATTCTGTCTAGGGAATATTGGGAATAAGAGAATCCTTCAAAGAAAAAACAATGTGTGAGTTGAATCTTGGAGAACAATTAGTAGCTTACCAGACAACAGGGACAGAAGAAAAATGTCTACCTGAGCAAAAAGAGTGATGGGGTAGGCAAAGAAGAGAGGGAGATTGCTTCAAAATGTAGGGAATGACTAGTGGGCTAGTGTCAGCACAATTCAGTGTTTGGGTATTGCAGCTGGTGGGGAAAGGTTGACAAGAGGATACAATAGAGGGTGGGACCATATTGAGAAGACTCCATATTCATATTCCACTGGTATGAGGGAATTTAACAGTAGAAGTTTTATAAAATGTTTATATGTCTCCATACTTATAGGTTAACCACTGCCCCGAGAGCACTAAGTAACCCCTGCCCCAAGCTGCTCTCATCCTCTCTTGAGGCCCCCTTCACACATCTCTCTATCATCTGGCAACTAGAAGGTTAATACTTGCCGTCACAGAAACTCTCCATGTATTACTCTGCTCCTATCTTTAAAATTTTCATACTTCTTTTTTTCTATGTAAGTAACATATTTGTCCTCCTCCAGTATTTTGATTTGGAAGCTTAGATGTTTAACTTCTCATCTTTTTAAAAATACGCACATACAACTATAAACTTCCCCCTAAGCACTGCTTTAGTTGCAACCTACCAATATTGATGTGTCCCATTTCTATTATGATTTAGTTTAAAATATTTTTTAATTTCTCTTGTTAATTTTTCTTTCACTCATGGGTTGCTTAAATGTGTGGCTTAATTTCAAAACATTTGAGGGACATCTAGTTATCATTCTTTCATTGATTTCTAGTTTAATTCTACTGTGCACAAAATACATGCTCTGTCTGATTTCAATCCTTTGAAATTTTTTGAAACTTGATTTTGGCCCAGCATGTGGTCTGTTTTGATGAATATACTATGTATACTTAGAAAAAAAATGTATATTTTCCGTTTGTTGAGAATAGGGTGTAGAACCCTTAGGATGTGTTCCTTCTGGAGTTTCAACCAAAAGCTTAGACAAATTACTTGCACCCTTCCACTTTACCAGGTTGGAACTTCAATCTCTGTTGCCCCAGCACTGTGTAGTTGTTGAAATATCTGCTTAGATGACTTTCCCTCCAACTCCTGTTTTCCACAAGGTATCATGACATCCTGCCCTGCTGTGCTACGCAGCGTTTAAGATGTCCCCCGTGACCCATGTACTCTTGTGTAGTCCCCTCCTCTTTGAGTGTGGACTGGACTTACTTGAGTGTGTCCCCCTCCTCTTTGAGTGTGGACTCTCCTTTAAACAAGAAGATACGGCAGAAGTGTTGGGAGTGTCCCTGCTGATGGGAGGTTATAAGAAGACTATAGCTTCTATGCTGAGCACTGTCTGTCTATCACATCACTCACTCTGGTGGAAACCAGTTGCCATGCTGTGAGGCAGCCTGAGGAGAATCCCACAGGGTGAAAGATGGAGACCTGCCATGTGAGTGAGCTTAGGATTAGTTTCCTCTGCCTATCAGTCAAGGCTTCACATAAAACCGTAACCCTAACTGATAGTTCGACTGCAGCCTCATGAGAGAGAGACATTGAGCTAACGGCATTATGCTGCACCTGGATTCTTGACTCATAGAAACTGTGCAATAATAAATGTTCATTGTTTTAAGCCATAAAGTTTTAATGTAATTTATTATTGGGCAAACAGTAACTAATACAAAATATTACCAGTGGAAATGGAAAGAAGTAAACAGATTCAAGAAAAAAGAATTTTTTGAGACCATGCTAGCAGAACCTACTAGGTAGGGTTAGATTTGGTACAAAGGAAAATGAGAAATAAAGAATTATTCTTGGGTTTTTAACTTGCACAGATAAGGGAATAGTAATGCCACTAAGCAAGATTGAGAAATCTGAAGGAAAATCAGCAACCATGTGGGAATATCAAGTAGCAATTGAATAGACAACTCTAGAGTTCTGGAAGTAAAGGACTGCAAGTATAGATTTGGGATAATAATGGTATCAGCCTCGCTGGTTGTGGTCATTAGGTGAGCTGATGCAGATGAAACCCTTTGCACAGTGTACACAGTTGTACACCTGTGGTAGGTAGAATTGTGCTCCCCCAAAAGATATGTTCAAGTCCTAACCCCTGGTATCTACAAACGTGACCTTATTTGAAAATAAGGTCTTTGTAGATGTAATTAGTTGAAATAAGGTAATACTGGATTATCGTGAGCCCTAATTCAGCTGATAGCCTCATAAAAAGAGAAAACAGAGACACAGAGATACACGCAGAAATGACTATGTCATCTGAAGGCAGAGACAGAAATTGGAGTGATGGGATGGTATGATAGTCTGTTTTGTGTTTTCATAAAGGAATACCTGAGGCTGGGTAATTTATAAAGAAAAGAGATTTATTTGGCTTACAGTTCTGCAGGTTGCACAAGCATGGCACTAGGATCTGCTTGGCTTCTGGTGAAGCCTCAGGAAGTTTTTACCCATGGCAAAAGAAAGGGGGAACATGCATGTCAAATGGCAAGAGAGGGAGCAAGAGAGATAGGAGGAGGTGCCAGTCTCCTTTAAACAACCAGCTCCCTCATGCACTAACTGATCAAGAGCTCACTTATTACCATGGCAAGGGCACCAAGCCATTCATGAAGGATCCATCCCCATGACCCAAACACCTCTCACCAGGCCCCACCTTAACATTGGAAATCACATTTCAACATGAGATTTGGAGGGGACAAACATCCAAACCGTATCAGATGGATTCTCCCTGAGGGCCTCCAGAAGAAATCAACCCTGCCAATGCCTTGCTTTCTGACTGTAGTTTCCAGAATTGTAGGAATAAATTTCCATTGTTTTAAGCCACCCAGTGTGTAGTAACTTGTTACAACAAGGCTATTAAACTAATAAAGTGTCCAAATAAATGTGAATGGTCATCATAGCTTCTATCAATATCCATATTGTATCATCGTTGTCATTGTTATATATCTAAGCACCTAACACATTACTGTGTGTATACAAGAACTCAATTCATAATTATAGTAGGATAAAAGATTTGTCACATGTGCAGATTAAAAAGAAGTAATGCAGTGTGAGGGGCAGCCACACATACTCCAAAGGAGTCTTGAAAGAATAAATTCTTTTCTCTATCTGAAAATCCACTTTGCCTGTAAAATTTCAGGATCTAGAAGTTCTGATTATATAACTCCTCTCTAATTTGACTCCAGGAGTGATTTTCTGTCTTCTAATCCAGATCCACACAAATTATTCCTCCGTACTACAGTCTTCCAAAACAAACTACCCACATGACTATAGGCTCTTTCAAACCTACATCCTAGCCTTTACTTACACATTACTTACATATTACATTATTTGGATTGTAAGCTTATATATTTATTCAACTTTTCATGTCACTTTATTTTATCTCTAATTATAAGTACCTAAAGGTCAGAAGAACAGTCTTTATCTTTAAAAATGCCACAGAGTGCTTTTCTTAGACATCATGGATATTGCTACATTTTTAACAGACATATCTCCTGATCACAACATCTTGAAACTATAAGATGAGGATTTTTTTTGGTATTTTTTTAATTTTAATTGGTTTTGGGGAAACAGGTGGTATTTGGTTACATGTATAAGTACTTTAGTGGTGATTTCTCAGATTTCAGTGCACCCATCACCTGAGCAGTGTGCACTGCACCCAGTGTGTAGTCTTTTATCCCTCACTCACCTCCCACCCTTTCCCCTGAGTCCCCAAAGTCCACTGCATCATTCTTATGCCTTTATGTCCTTATAGCTTAGCTACCTCTTATGAGTGAGAATGTACGATGTTTGGTTTTCCATTCCTGAGTTACTTCACTTAGAAAATGGTCTCCAACTTAATCCAGGTTGCTACAAATGCTATTATTTCATTCCTTTGTATGGCTGCATAGTATTCCATAGTATATATGTACCACATTTTCTTTATTCACTGGTTAGTTGATGGGCATTTGGGCTGGTTCCATATTTTTGTAATTATGAATTGTGCTGCTACAAACATGCATGTGCAAATATCTTTTTTGATAATGACTTCTTTTCCTCTGGGTAGAATCCCAGTAATGGGATTGCTTGATCAAATGGTAGATCTACTTTTAGTTCTTTAAGGAATCTGCACACTGTTTTCCATAGCAGTTGTACTAGTTATATTCTCACCAGCAAAAATCACCAACAAAAAAAAAAGTCCCTGACCAGATAGAATTCAGCTGTGAATCTATCTGGTCATGGACTTTTTTTTTGTTGACAATTTATTTTACTACCATTTCCATCCCACTGCTTGTTATTGGTCTGTTCAGTTTCTATTTCTTTCTGGTTGAATCTAGGAGGGTTGTATATTTCCAGGAATTTATCTATGTCCTCTAGGTTTTCTTTTTTTTTTTTAAGTTTTTTGAGATTAGTGTTGTTGTTGTCATTGTTGTTCTTGTTTTTATTTTAAGTTCTAGGGTACATGTGCACAATGTGCAGTTTTGTTACATAGGTATACATGTGCCATGTTGGTTTGCTGCACCCATCAGCCTGTCATTTACATTAGGTGTTTCTCCTAACACAATCCCTCCCCCAGCCCCCCACCCCCCAACAGGCCCCAGTGTGTGATGTTCCCCTTCCTATGTCCATGTATTCTCATTGTTCAACTCCCACTTATGAGTGAGAACATGCAGTGTTTGCTTTTCTGTCCCTGTGATAGTTTGCTGAGAATGATGGTTTCCAGCTCCATCCATGTCCCCGCAAAGGGCATAAACTCATCCTTTTCATGGCTGCATAGTATTCCATGGTGTATATGTGCCACATTTTCTTTATCCAGTCTATTAATGATGGACATTTGGGTTGGTTCCAAGTCTTTGCTATTGTGAATAGTGCCACAATAAACATACGTGTGCATACATCTTTTATAATACTTTGGGTATATACCCAGTAATGGGATTGCTGGGTCAAACGGTATTTCTAGTTCTAGATCCTTGAGGAATTGTCACACCGTCTTCCACAATAGTTGAACTAATTTACACTCCTATCAACAGTGTAAAAGCATTTGTATTTCTCCACATCCTCTCCAGTATCTGTTGTTTCCTGACTTTTTAATGATTGCCATTCTAACTGGCATGCATCTCCTCTAGGTTTTCTAGTTTGTGCACATAAATCTGTTCATAGTAGCCTTGAATGATCTTTCATATTTCTGTGGTATTGGTGGTAATATCTCTGATTTCAATTCTAATTTAGCTTATTTGGATCTTTTCTTTTTGTGGCTAATCTTGCTAATGGTCTATTGATTTTGTTTATCTTTTCAAAGAACCAGCTTTTTACTTTATTTATCTTTTGTATTTTATTTGTTTTAATTTTATTTAGTTCTGTTCTCATCTTTGTTATTTTTTTAATTCTGCTGGATTTGGGTTTGGTTTGTTCTTGTTTCTCTAGTTCCTTGAGCTGTGACCTTAGATTGTCTACTTGTGCTCTCTCAGACTTTATGATGTAGACATTTAAGGCTATGAACTTTTCTCTTAGCACTGCCTGATATGGTTTGGCTGTGTCCCCACCCAAATCTCATCTTGAATTATGGCTCCCATAATCCCCACATATCATAGGAGAGACCTGGTGGGAAGTAATTGAATCATCAGGGCGGGTTTTCCCATGCTGTTCTTGTGATAGTGAATAAGTCTCACAAGATCTGATGGTTTTATAAAGGGCAGTTTCCATGCACAAACCCTCTTGCCTGCCACCATGTAAGATGTGACTGCTTCTCCTTCACCTTCTGCAATGATTGTGAGGCCTCCTCAGTCATATGGAACTGTGAGTCCATCAAATCTCTTTCTCTTCATAAATTACCCAATCTTGGATATTTCTTCATAGAAGTATGAAAATAGACAGATACAGTAAATTGGTACTGCAGAGAGTGGGGTGCTGCTGTAAAGATACCTAAAAATGTAGAAGCAACTTTGGAACTGGGTAACAGGCAGAGGTTGGAACAGTTTGGAGGGCTCAGAAGAAGACAGGAAAATGTGGGAAAGTTTGGAACTTCCTAGAGATTTGTTGAATGGCTTTGACCAAAATTCTGATACTAATATGGATGATAAAGTTTAGGCTGAGATGGTCTCAGATGGAAATGAGGAACTTGTTGAGAACTGGAGGAAGGGTGATTCTTGCTACAGGCACCAAAACATGGTGCCTGTAGTCCCAATGTTTTGGCCAATTTCTCCCATTTGGAATGGGTGTCTTTACCTAATGCCTGCACCCCCATTGTAGCTAGGAAGTAACTAACTTGCTTTTGATTTTACAGGCTCATAGGCAGAAGGGACTTGCCTTGTCTCAGATAAGCCTTTGGACTGTGGACTTTTGAGTTAATGCTGGAATGAGTTAAGACTTTGGGGGACTGTTGGGAAGAGATCATTGGTTTTGAAATGTGAGGACATGAGATTTGAGAGGTGCCAGGGGTGGAATTATATGGTTTGGCTGTGTCCCCACCCAAATCTCATCTTGAATTGTAGTTCCCATAATTCCCATGTGTTGTGGGAGGGACCCAGTGGGAGGTAATTGAATTATGGTGGCAGATTTTTCCCGTGCTGTTTCCATGATAGTGAATAAGTCTCATAAGATCTGATGGTTTTATAAAGGGCAGTTCCCCTGCATATGTTCTCTTGCCTGCCTCCATGTAAGATGTGCCTTTGCTCCTCCTTTGCTTCTACCATGATTGTGAGGCCTCCCCAGCTATGTGGAACTATGAGTCCATTAAATCTCTTTTTCTTTATAAATTACCAGCCTTGGGTATTTCTTCATATTAGTATAAAAATGGACTAATACACTGCCTTTGCTGTATCCCAGAGGTTTTGATAGGGTATGTCACTATTATTGTTCAGTTCAAAGAACCTTTTAATATTCATCTTGATTTCATTGTTGACCCAATGATCATTCAAGAGCAAGTTATTTAATTTCCATCTATTTTTATCATCGTGAGGGTTCTGTTTGGAGTCAATTTTCAATTTTATTCCACTGTCATCTGAGAGAGTATTTGATATAATTTCAATTTTCCTAAATTTATTGAGACTTGTTTTGTGACCTTTTATATGGTCTATCTTGGAGAATGTTCTATGTGCTGATGAATAGACTGTCTATTCTGCAGTTATTGGGTGGAATGTTCTGTAACTATCTGTTAAGTCCATTTGTTCTAGCGTATAATTTAAGTCCATTGTTTCTTTATTGACTTTATCTCTATGACCTGTTTAGTGCTGTCAGCGGAGTATTGAGGTCCCCCACTATTATTGTGTTGCTGTCTATCTCATTTCTTAGGTCTAGTAGTAATGTTTATAAGTTTGGGAGCTCCAGTGTTAGGTGCGTATGTATTTAGGATTGTGATATTTTTCTGTTGGACAAGTCCTTTTATCATTATATAATGTCCCTCTTTGTCTTTTTTAACTGCTGTTGCTTTAAAGTTTGTTTTATCTGATATAAGAATAGCTACTCCTGCTCGCTTTTCATGTCCATTTGCATGAAATATCTTTTTGCACACCTTTACCTTAAGTTTATGTGAGTCCTTATGTGTTTGGTGAGTCTCTTGAAGACAGTGGATACTTGGTTGATGAATTGTTATCCATTCTGCCATTCTGTATCTTTTAAGTGGAGCATTTAGGCCATTTACATTCAATGTTAGTATTGAGATGTGAGGTACTATTTGATTCACTGTGCTAGCTGTTGACTGAATACTTCATTTTGTTGTTGTTGTTGTTTTATTGTGCTATTGTTTCATAGGTCCTGTGAGATTTATGCTTAAGGGGGTTCTGTTTTGGAGTACTTCAAGGATTTAAGATTTAAAGCTCCTTTTAGCAGTTCTTGTAGTGCTGGCTTGGTAGTGGCACATTCTCTCAGCATTTGTTTATCTGAAAAAGACTGTATATTTCCTTCATTCATGAAGCTTAGTTTTCCTGGATACAAAATTCTTGCCTGATAATCGTTTTGTTTAAGGAGGCTAAAGATAGGACCCTAATTCCTTCTAGCTTGTAGGGCTTCTGTTAATAAATCTGCTGTTAATCTGATAGGTTTTCCTTTACAGGTTACCTGATGCTTTTGCCTCACAACTCCTAAGATTTTTTCCTTCATCTTGACTGTAGATAATCTGATGACTATGTGTCTAGGTGGTGATCTTTTTATGATGAATTTCCTGGGTCATCTTTGAGTTTCTTGTATTTGGATGTCTAGATCTCTAGCAAAGTCAGGGAAATTTTCCTTGATTATTCCCTCAAATATGTTTTCCAAACTTTTAGAATTCTTTTCTTCCTCAGGAACACCAATTATTCTTAGGTTTGGTCATTTAACATAATTTCAAACTTCTCGGAGGCTTCATTTTTTTTTATTCTTTTTTGTTTGTCTCTGTCAAATTGGGTTAATTCGGAAGCCTTGTCTTTGAATTCTTTCTTCTGCTTGTTTGATTCTATTGTTGAGACTTTCCAGTGTATTTTTCATTTCTCTCAGTGTGTCCTTCATTTCCACAAGTTGTGATTTTTTTTTTTTTTTTTTTTACTTATACTATCTATTTCTCTGGAGACTTTTCCACCCATATCTTTTAACTTTTTTTTTTTTATTATTTCTTTAGTTGGTATTCACCTTTCTCTGGTGCCTCCTTGAGTAGTTTAATATTTGACCTTCTGAATTCTTTTTCTGGCAATTCAGAATTTCTTCTGGGTTTGGATCCATTGTTGGTGCACTAATGTGATGTCTTGGGGGTGTTAAAGAACTCTGTTTTGTCATGTTACCAGAATTGTTTTTCTGGTTCCTTCTCATTTGTGTAGATTATGTCAGAGGGAAGATCTAGGGCTCAAGTGCTGTCATTCAGATTCTTTCATCCCATGGGGTGCTCCCTTGATGTGGTACTCTCCCCATTTTCCCTAGGGATGGGGCTTTCTGAGAGCCAAACTGCAATGATTGCAATGATTGTTATTTCTCTTCTGGGTCTAGCCACTCAATGGAGCTACCAAGCTCCAGGGTGGTACTGAGGAGTGCCTGCAAAGAGTCCTGTGACATGATCCATCTTCAGGTCTCTCTCTCTGCTAATAAATCTGCTGTTAATCTGATAGGCTTTCCTTTACAGGTTACCTAATGCTTTTGCCTCACAGCTCCTAAGATTTTTTCCTTCATCTTGACTGTAGATAATCTGATGACTATGTGCCTAGGTGGTGATCTTTTTATGATGAATTTCCTGGGTGTTCTTTGAGTTTCTTGTATTTGGATGTCTAGATTTCTGGCACAGCACCTACTCTGGTGGAGGTAACAGGAGAGTGAAGTGGACTCTGTGAGGGTCCTTGGTTATAGTTTTATTTAGTGTGCTGGTTTAGCATTGGTTAGCCTCCAGCTAGGAGGTGGCCCTTTCAAGAAAACACCAGCTGCTTGGTATAGGGAGGATACGAGCTTGCCCTGGGGTCATCTGGATAAGTATTTGGCTTTCTCAGGTAGTGGGTGGGGCCATAGAGCTCCCAAGAGATTATGTCCTTTGTCTTCAGCTACCAGGATGAGTAGAGAAGGACCATCAGGTGGGGCCAGGTTTAGGTGTGTCTGAGCTCAGGCTCCCCTTGGGCAGGGTTTGCTGCAGCTGCTGTGGAGGATAGAGGTTCTCAGGAGAATGGAGTTATGTTTCCAGGGGGATTATGGCTGCTTCTGCTGTGTCATACAGGTCACCAGGGAAGTGGGGGAAAGCCAGCAGTGACAGGCCTCACCCAGTTACCAAGCAATGTGAAAGGTCGGTCTCACTCCCACCATGCCCCCCAACAGCAATGAGTTAATTTCCAGGCAGCCCGTGAGCAGGGCTGAGATCTGGCCTCAGGCTACAGGCGTCCCCGCCAAAAAAGCAAGCAGGGCTTTCAGGTTTCATACATCTCAGCCTGCCATGGCTTCTGTGCTTTATCTGCACTCATCGTTCACCCCCCTCCCCCAGACTCTGTCCAGGAAACTTCATGTTCAGTTGAAATTGTTACAAAGTTCTGCTGAAAGTTTCCTTCTCCCTGTGGTCTATCCCCAATTCCACTGGCAGCCCTCCCCAAGGATTCCTGCAAGACAGTCAGAAATGGCTTCCCTGGGGACCGAGAGTGCCCACAGAGCTCTTCCTGCTGCTTCTCCTACCCCTATATTTCACTCAGTTCTCTAAATTCATCTCAGCTTCAGGTGAGTCAAATCCTTCTTCTGTGATCTGGACCTGCAAGTTTCCCAGTGAGGATGTGTGTTCAGGGGTGGACATACCCCCTGTCACACTTTGGGTACTAACAGTTTTTCAGTTGCTTCATAGAGCCTGTGGCAGCAAGCTGCCTCTTTCAGTGGGTCTGTGGATTCTCTCAGCTTTCCTGGTATGTTCCTGTGGTAGTTCTTGGAGCAAAAGTTCATGTTGTGATTCTCCACACACTGCTCTGTTTATCTGAGTGGGAGCTGCAAGTTAGTCCTGTGTCCTATTTGCCATTTTCCTATATCAGAACTTTCTTTTTTATATCCCCAGTGATCATTTTCTGAGCTTCATCCATAGGACTGTGAAAAGTCCATCTCTACCTTGTCTCCCACTTGCCAAGAACCAAGGCAAAGAACCCAGGAAGACTGCTTATGTGTTCTGCAAGTCTGCCTAGGTGGTCACTTGCCCTTATGCCAACCACATAAGCTTTGAATGGATCACCTTAGACTGCCTAAAAACTTGAGTTTACAATGCACAGTCATATAACTCTCCTTTTCCCATTTTTCTCTCCCACAACAGTCCACCCTAGGCATGGATTCAAATCACTTCTTTCATTCCCCCAAACACAGCTAAATTCAGGCAGTAGTGTTTAATAAAACTTAACACCCAGAGGAGTGACACACAGGGCTGCTTCTCTTGCTACTAGTCTTGGCTACCCTTCAGGCTCACAACTAGAGGATCTTTGCCCAACTTGTTCCATAGGGATGGCCCAGCCCCACCCAGACATCTGCATAGTCCAGAGTCCAGCCCTCCAATTGCCTTAACCGAAGAGTAGGTGAGTCCTTCCCTTCTACAGCCTAAGGTCCAAAGCTTGTTCACTGACACAGGGGGCATTTGTTTCCTTTAGAGAAGAAAAGACATCATTTCTAGTCACAAGGTGAGGTCTGATCTTCTTGGGACCAGTCCAAGTTATCACAACAGTTCCATGAAAGCCCACAGGGGATTGGAGTCAGGAAGTGGGACAAGAAGCCTAGATCTTGCACTCACAAAGGACATCAAACTTAGGCTTTTACAACATCTCAGGTTACACAGTCTTTTCTTGTGTTAAAATATTAAGCTTCTAATTAACTATGTATATTATAACAATATCATCTTGTAATTCAATTTTGGCATATTTTCATTATATGTATACATCATTATATTATCTATTTCTTTATCTTTATCTTTCTGTCTATATCAGGATGACTTCTCAGCCTTTTGGCTAAGATCAAGTGCCTATCTATATCAGGAGCATTAGGAAAAAAATTGAAGGAAGCCCAGGCCTTTTTTGATCTATGAAAAGCCCCAGTTGACAGTGAATTTTCCATATTTAGTAAAAAACAATTATGCATTCTTCAAGGTCTTAGTCTTATTAAAGATATGCTCAACTCACCTTTTTAATATTTTCTATTTCAGTCTCTGTTATCTGCATTCAGTTTGGTGGAAACAGTTCCAGTTTTCTCCAGAAATTTGTTTTTAAAATAGGTATTTAAATTAAAATGCTCATCCTGATAGCTTCCTCTAGAAACTTTATGGAAGCCTTGTCTTTGGAAACTGACATTTTCTGTTCTACCCTGGATGGGTGCATGCCTTCTTCCTCTATACTCTCTCTCCTTGGGTGATTTCACATGTTCTTATTCATTTAGTAACCAATCCAGTCCCAGCTTGTAAGACCCACATACCTGTTTCCCCCTGCCTGTTTGACCTCTGCACCTGGATATCAGAAAGGCAACATGTCCATGAGAATTCTCTTAGTCTTGCACCATAATCTTTCTTTTCCCAGTCTTTCCATTGTAGTAAATTCCTATTAGCTTCCTAGGATGAAGTTATTTTTGAAACTACCTTTTCCCTTCCCTCTAACTCCATCCAGTCCATCACCACATCCTGATTATAATTCTACTCTTTAAATAAAACTCAGATCAGGACTTCTCTCCATCCCCACAATTACCACTGCTAAGCTGCTCCCCCTTCCACCTAGACTACTTCAGTAGCATTTTTCTAGGTTCCCAGCTCACACCATGGTTGCCTTACAATCTTTCACCATACAGCAATTAGTATGATCTTTACACAGTTTAAATTGGATTCCATAATGTTCCTGCTATCTTAATTTAGACTCTCCCCAAATCAGATCCAGAACCAAAAATTCAAGTGAAAGTAGTTTATTTGGAAGATGACCTCAGATAACACAAGTGGAGTGGAGAAGTGAGATAGAGAAGGGAAGAAATCTAATAAAGGGTGTATTGTCGCAAGTTTCCACTCTGCCAACTAAAGGTTTATCTCTAAACTCCAGGAAATAGAGTAAGCACACATCAGAGTTGCTCTGCCAAAGAAGCAAGGTAGCCAGGATATTTATACATCAACTCCCATCAGTGATTGCTTATAAGGTCCCCTGAGACCTTATAAGGTTGAGAGTGGAGGGTTAAATTTCCACCACCTCTAGGCTGCCCCACAGCATGCAAGGAAGGTTCTGACTGCCACAGAAAGGCCTTGGGGAAAACAGTCTCCAGAGCTGATACTTGAAAGTCAAGCTAGCAAACAGGGAAATGGCACGTGCTAAGGTGAGATGTGCAGGGTACCAACAGCATCTACTGCACCTACATAAATCCCTCTGGTGGCTTCCTGTTGTGCTGTAAGTGCAATCCAAATTCTCAAGCATGGCCTCCTAGGCTCTTTCCACAGTCTTTTCATGTGTCTCTCCCTCAAGCATAGTCTCCCATGCACAGCTGACTTTGGTTCTTTGCTCTTTGCCTGCTAGAAGGATCTGCCTAAATCTATCAGCCAAATTTTCTTTGGAGTTGGAGTAAGATAACCTTCAATCATTTCCAGGCATATTCACTTGTCCTGTCTTCTTCTTCTTTAAAAAAAACTGTTCTTCTGCTGGAACCCATGAAGACAAACTTGAATTTAGTAAAATCCCTCTCTCACTACCTCCAGAACTGACAATGCAGATGACCTGCAGAGGAAGCTGATACCTTTTGCTATAGAGCTACACATGTGCCTGGCCCAGGACTCAAAAAAAGCTAAAGAAAGATATGCAGTAGAAAGTGGAAGAGCTAAAATCCCAGCTGCTGCCCAATGCCAATAAAGTAGCATGGAGGTCACTTAAAATGTGAGCAAGATACAACTGCCTCTTGCCATACACAGAAATGGTTGCCATTTCATTTCCACCTGTGCACCCCTTAAGTCCTTGGTGATGACACTAACTTCTGCAGGATTCCTCCAAGTATATGGTATGACTTTTGGTTTACTATTTTGGTGAGGAAAAGCCACTCTACTAGCTTCCACTTGGGCTTCTACAGTAGCCCTCACTCCATGGACCAGGGAACCAATAGAGGAATTCTGCGCATTGTTGAGTAATTCAATTATGCATTCTGTAACTGAGTAAATAACCACAGTGTGGTTTAGGGGACACACTAAGCCCACCATATGACAGAGCTTAGCCAAAATTTCATTGATCACCTGATGTCCATAAGCTTCTATTCTGATTAGTGGCCCACAATGCAATGTTGGGCCTTTAGGAATTAGTGTCAATTCAGAGCCAAAGTCTAGCTATTTCTTCTCCTCTATTCCCAGTCACACTGGCAAATGAATGCAAGTTCTTTTGGTGAAAGCTAAAGAGAATGATTACAATACAAATTTTTGGCTGTTTTTCACAGTTCTTCCTTGAAGGTACCTGGCCTCCCTTTCATCCAAGGGACTCCGCATCTATAAACTGGTTCAAATCTGGTAATTATTTGAGGGACAACATCTCTGTTACTGTGATTCAAGTTAGATCTCTGTTCACAAAGTTTAGTGACTTTTTTGCTTGTACATATCAAGTAAGACCTTACAAGGTTGTCCACCTATTTCAGTCCTAGAAACAATGGTCAATTAGCACTGAAGTCATAGGTCAAACCATTCTGATCATTGCTTCCACTTTGCTGCATACTGTCATGCCTTTCCTACTTCACCTCTGCTAATTCAGGGCCTCCACTGGGCCCCTGCCACCCTGAAATCCCATTATCTTCATTGAATTCAAGGAGTCTAGGTCAATGACAGCAGTTCCCACTTGCATTCCTGGCCTACTGATAACAACTCCACAGAGGTCTTCAAAGATGCCCAGGGTCCCCTCATGAATGTATTTCTTGCTGCCTTGTTGAAAGAGTATACACAGTTAGGGATGAGTAAGCAGATCTTACGTGGTAAATCTACTTTACCATGCCTATCATCCTAAGCATCTGGGTAGTGTCCCTTGTAGTATACTGAGACATTTCTAAAATTTCTGGCATTTCAGTTTAAATTTTGTCTAGGATACTTCTAGATCCATGTTTCAACCAACCAACAAGTACACTGTTAGAGCCACTTCCTATAGCTTGAACTAATATACTAAATCTAGAATCTCTGCATGCTGTACTCATATCAACAAATGTGACCAGACCAACATTGCATTTCTTCCACCATAATCCAGCACTTTTAGGATCCATTTCCATAAATGTTCTCAGTTTCCATCAACAACATTGATAAACTTGCAATTATTTTGGTGTATACTGTACTTTCTTCACGTGTCACGCTTAAGTATTCCCAGACTCCCTGGGGCCTGCCAGGACTTTGTCTGATTATAGAGCCCCCTCTTTAAACAGGGGAGGTAGTCCTTAGGATGACCAAAAGCCCTTTGCAAGGCCCTAACCTCAGGGCAGAATGTCTTTAGGCAAGAAGAGGCTAACATCCTCAGATAGAGAAGAACCTAATTTTTTTAAGATATGGAGAAAAGATTTTTCACAATTCAAAGACAGTTTGAGGATACTTTAGTGATCATTACGTTGAACAAACCACGATAATTGCTAATTTCAATGGAGACAAAACATTGTGCAAGAAAAAAAAAACAATTGCTATATACTGTATGGCTCAATTGTTAGTAAAGTCATTACAGCATAAATGCTAGAAATTGATCTTTCAAAAGTACAACAGAACCAAATGGGGAGGTGTTAGAATGTTACTAGAAGTGAAAGAGCAATGTGTGAGAAAAAGGGCTACTCACCTTCCACAGTAGGAACTGAAAAATAATGCCTAAAATGAAAACATAGAGTAGCAATATAAGCATATCAGCTAGAGTTATTGAGCTATATAGTAAAAGAATTGTTTAAAACATTTGAATGTGCCTATGGGCAGAAGAAATATAGAGGACCCAGCTATTGGGGAACTGAAATTTTCATGTTTTACTCTTCCACAAGTGCTTCTGATTTAATTGTTTTAAGATTGGCACTGGGCATCAGTATTTTTAAAAGGCTTCACCCTTGCTTTAATGTGCAGGTGGCTTTAAGCTAGATGCAGGTATAGGTTAGGCAAAAATAAAATATTTTAAAATGTCAATTCCCCTAGAGTTACACTTGGATATTCTACATGAGTGGATAGTTAGGGGAAACTTGTAAGTTACCTTTTAAGGATTTTTGGATTGCCTTCCTAAGAGGAAACCACCTGAATGTAGACTCCAATCAACAAGCCTGTTCTGTGCTCACACATGTGAAAGATTTGGGCTCAGCACTAAGAGCAAACAACCACGATGATGATACACGGCCTGTCCACAAGAGGATGACACCCTTTGAAATGAGATGAGAAATATACTGAAAGAGCCACAGCACTCCTTACACAGGTACGTATGCCTTAAGAGATATGCTAATAGAGGGTTCTAAGATTGAGAGGGGAAAAAAATCACACCTGTTTCTTTTTCTTTTTTCTTTTTCCTTTTTCTTTTCTTTTTTTTTTTTTGAGATGGAGTCTCTCTCTCTTGGCCAGGCTGGAGTGCAATGGTGCAATCTCGGCTCACTGCAACCCCTGCCTCCCAGGTTCAAGCAATTCTCCCTGCCTCAGCCTCCCGAGTAGCTGGGATTACAGGTGTCCACCACCACACCCAGCTAATGTTTGTATTTTTAGTAGAGATGGGGTTTCACCGTTTGGCCAGGCTGGTCTCGAACTCCTGACTTCAAGTGATCCACCCACCTTGGCCTCCCAAAATGCTGGGATTACAGGCGTGAGTCACTGCCCCCAGCCTACCTGTTTCTTAAGAAATTAGGGAAGGCTTCCCAAAGAAGGTAGCATTTTGCCTTAAAGTACAGGTCAGATTGAAACACATTGAAATGAGGGAAAAGAGAAAACATTCACAAGAACATTTTTAGCAAAGGCACCAATCTGGGAAAACAGAGATTGACATGTGTGCATCCACAGTGATAAAACTTGACAATCAGATTAATGAGTGAGGATGGGGAAGCAAGCGGTGGCTGATTTAAAACCAGACTATTGTGGGCTGGGCGTGCTGGCTCACGCCTGTAATCCCAGCACTTTGGGAGGCCGAAGTGGGTGGATCTCTAGGTCAGGAGTTCAAGACCACCCTGGCCAACATGGTGAAACCCCGTCTCTACTAAAACTACAAAAATTAGCCGGGCGCAGTGGCAGGTGCCTGTAATTCCAGCTACTTGGGAGGCTCAGGCAGGAGAATCGCTTGAACCCGGGTGGCAGAGGTTGCAGTGAACTGAGATCACGCCACTGCACTCCAGCCTAGGTGACAGAGTGAGACTCTGTCTCAAATAAAATAAAATAAAATAAAATAAAATAAAATAAAATAAAATAAAATAAAATAAAACCAGACGATGGAGAAATAAATCTTCTCTTTTTATTTTTCCACAAAGTAGATCCTCCTGAACAATACAATCAAATTATCCACCAGCCTAATTTTCCAGTAGAAATTTATATGGCAAGATTTTGGTAATATTTTAACAGTACACTGACATGGTATTTGACCATGATTGTGATGCCCCTCTCCTTGAAATTTTTAGATCCTGTTTGAGTAAACCATGGCCCATACTTTTAAGATAAGTGATCTAAAATATCTTTAAGTGTTTTTGGAAAAGAAGTCATTTGAAAAGGGATTTTTTTAGGCTGGGCACAGTGGCTCACGCCTGTAATCCCAGCATGTTGGGAGGCCAAGGCGGGTGGATCACAAGGTCAGGAGATTAAGACCATCCTGCTTAACCAGGTGAAGCCCTATCTCTACTAAAAATACAAAAAATTAGCCAGGTGTGGTGGCACGTGCCTGTAGTCCCAGCTACTCGGGAGGCTCAGCAGGAGAATCGCTTGAACCTGGGAGGCTGAGGTTGCAGTGAGCTGAGATCGTGCCTCTGCACTTCAGTCTGAGCGACGGAGCGAGACTCCATCTCAAAAAAAAGAAAAAGGATTTTTTGGTTCCACAACACAGGCTTAGTTAAACAGTAGTATAAATTCTTACACATGATCTTGTGGTTCATTTTCAAGAACAGATTCAAAAAGTCAAGTACATTCTATGTGTGTTAGCATTCCAGCAGCAGTCTCCAAGGGTCACACTTGGGAACAAGTTCTCCTGGGGTCCTGTAACCACCCAACGTGTTGACCTTGCGCACCGCTTAGACAGAGCCAATTTATCAGGAAAGGGAAATTGCAATGCAGAAAGAATCATTCACGCAGAGCCAGCTGTGCAGCAGACCTGGAGTTTTGTTATTCAAATCAGTCTCCCTGAGCATTCAGGGATCAGAGTTTTTAAAGATAATTTGGTGGGTAGGGGCTCAGGAAGTGGGGAGTGCTGATTGGTTAGGTTGGAGATAGAATCATAGTGGGGGTCAAAGTGAGGTTTGCTTGCTGTCTTCTGTTCCTGGGTAGGATTGCAGAACTGGTTGAGCCAGATTAATAGTCTGGGTGGTGTCAGCTGGTCCATCAAGTACAGGGTCTGCAAAATATTTCAAGCACCGATCTTCAGTTTTACAATATTGATGTTATCCCCATCAGCAATTTGGGGAGATTCAGACTCTTGCAGCCAGAGGCTGCATGACTCTTAAACCATAATTTCTACTCTTGTAGCTAATTTGTTAGTCCTACGAAGGCAGACTGGTCCCAAGGCAAAAAGGGGTTTTTTTTGGGGAAAGGGCTGCTATCAATTTTGTTTCAGAGTCAAATCATAAACTGAATGCCTTCCCGAGGTTAGTTCAGCCTATGCCCAGGAGTGAGCAAGGACAGCTTAAAAGATAGAAGCAAGATGGGGTCAGTTAGGTCTGATCTCTTTCAAAGTCATAATTTCCTCATTTATAATTTTTCAAAGGCAGTTTCAGTTTCAGCTTGGGTCTCATGTTGGTTGGTACTCATGGCCTGATGTACCTCCAGAGCACATGACCCTCATAGTCCAACAATGAAGAGATATCACCTGTCAGGCTTCAATATCCCCTTCTCTGTATGTCTTTTACTTCCAATCGCAGTGTATGATAAACCATCATTGCAGATTAATTCTTTGAGATTTAAAATTTGTTTACATAGAGTGTTAGAACTAGAATAAAATTTAGTCCAGAGGTTCTCAAACTTGAAAAAAAAATAGTATCACCTGGAAGAATGTTTGAAATGTAGATTCCTGGGCTCCTTTCCAATCCACTGAGAATCAGAATCTGGGGTCTGAAGAGCGATGCAACCCGTATTTTTTAGCAAGCTCTAGTTGATTCTGATGTCACCGATTCAGTGTCTATCTTAGAATATTCAAGAACCTCAATTCCTTCGTTATATAGATGAGGAACCTGAGACCCAGAAGCATTGTTCCAGGACCAAACTGAGGGTCGGGCTTCTATTTCTCATGGCCCAATAATGAGATGCAGATGAACTGGGGAAGAAGAGAGTTTTTATTTCTGTAGCCGGTTACAGGGAGTAGGCCTGGAAATTATCGCCAGACCTATTCAAAATTACAAAGTTTTCCAGAGTTTATAAACCTTCTAAGCTGTATGTCTACTTGTAAGTGTGCATTCATCTAAAGACATAAGTGATTAACTTCTTTTAATCTATAACTACGGTCTGAGTCTTGAAGACCTTTCTCTGGAGCCTCAGTAAATTTACTTAATCTAAATGGATCCAGGTGCTGGCGTGATTACCCTTATCTTGTCTCCTGCTAAATTACGGAGGCTTGAGGAGTTTCTTCAGACCCCCCAACGAACTTGTTTGAGGCCTGGGGAGTTTCTTCAGCCCCACGATAAAACTTGTTTCATCCTAAATGGGTCCTGTTAAGAATTCCTTCTTTATTTTGTCATGCTTTAAGGCCCAGGAAAGGCCTAGATAAAACTCTTGATGGGCTTTTGTTACATACCAGCCTTTGTATAAAGCCACTGGCTTTTCGTATTTAACTTAACCACTCAGTACTGAAAGAGTTGTTATGGAGGCCTGTGTTTGGTGAGACTTGGCTTCTACACTGTCATTTGACTGGGGTATCGTTATCTGGTTACTTAGTGTCAGACCTCAGATTTCTCACTTCCAAATAAGAATGCCCTATCCCTGGGCTTCTCTTTCCAACATTCAAATCCCTATTAAATTAGAATGCCTGTTGGAGAAGTCTAACCTGAATCTTAGTTGGGAGACATCTGAACACAAAGTTCCAAAGGTACAACCCGTGTCTGTTTGTAGTTTCCTTCACTTGCAGAATGGGCTCGGGAGGACCAGCAGCACAATGTCCTCAGGCTATGGAGCAGGCCCCTGAGTGAGCCAGAGCCTTCTTTAGCACGGTGGTGATGGAGGCGGCATCCAGTAGCCACAGGACTAAACCATTCCACTGTGGGTGGACATCAGAACTGCCAATGTGCCAAGGTCCGGGTTTCCTGAACTTCTCTTCCATCTAGGCAATGTCAGGGAAGTCTTAACCATAATGTATGAGCGAGAGCCTCTGAAGTTTCCCAAGGCAGGTCTGCTCATCTATTTAAAAGAAATTAGCAAGCTCTGCTTTAGCTTAACTGAAGAGCATCTAGAGAAAGGATGGGGATTTCCAGTGAAAAGGATGCATTGCACCAATGCTCGGAGGGGTGTGTATGTAGCATACAAAAATGTAACATGCTGTTGTTCTCTATACACCCTTCCAACTCCCACCTAAAGGGGAGGTCCCTTGAATTGTTTTCCTAGAAGTGAGAATGAGTAACAAAAGATTCTTTCACAGTCTCCTGCCATTTCCCTTTCTAACAAATGGTTCATGTTTAGCCCAGTGGTTTGCAACCTTGGGGAAGGAAGAGATATTTGCCTCCAGGGTATGTCTGGCAATGTTTGGAGACAGTTTTGGTTGTCTGACAAGACAACATCTGGGATTGCTACTGGTATCTAACAAGTAGAGGCCAGAAATGCTAGTAAATAATAATCATACAATGCAGCCCCTCCCACATAACAATGAATTATATGGCCTAAAATGTCAATAGTTTCAAGGTTGAGAAATTTTAATTTAGACTAAAGTGACTGCTTAGATTAGCAGTGGTGCCTGAGGACCCCAAAGGCTCAAACTCTTTGATTTGTTAGGCAGTTAATCGACTCAATTAAAGAGTCAATTGACTCAATTAAAGCGTCAATTAACAAACCAAAGGGTGAAATGTTAGTCAATATCTCTGAATCCCTTTCTAATTCTGTCACTGACTTGCCAGTTGAACTGAAACAAACTTTTGTCTCTCCTGTTGACTCAGTTTCTTTGGTTGCTAGAAGTCAATGAGAATAGCTTTCTAGTTTCATTGGTATCTCCTCTCCCAGTATCTGCCTCCCGAAATAGTGCCCCAAGGTTTTCAATGGTCTCCATGTCCATAAATCCAATGAACATTTCTCCTTTCCTGCCTTCCTTGGCCTCACATTAGACACAGCATTAAATACAGCCCCTGCTTTTTTTCCCCTACATTTCTTTTATTTCTTGGCTTCCATGTGTGAAAGGAAAGTATCTTGGGCCCCCAAAATTACTGAAGAAAACTCAAGCTGGAAACTGCTTGGAGCAAATCTGCCTCCCATTCTATTCAAAGTCACCTCTCTGTTCACTGAGATAGACGCATACCTGATTTTCCTCCTTTGGAAAGGCTAATCAGAAACTCAAAAGAATGTAGCCCTTTGCATATCACCTTCTGTGACCTGGAAGCTCTCTCCCCCGCTTCGAGTCTTCCTGCCTTTGCTTCAAGTTGTCCCGCCTTTCCAGACTGAACCAATGTACTTCTTACATATATTGATTGACGTCTTATGTCTCCCTAAAATGTATATAACCAAGCTGTGCCCCAACCACCTTGGGCACATGTCATCAGGACCTCCTGAGGCTGTGTCATGGGCTCGTGTCCTCAACCCTGGCAAAATAAACTTTCTAAATTAACTGAGACCCGTCTCGGATTTTCGGGGTTCACATGTCACAGGCTCCTAGTTTTCCTCTTTTCTAGCTCTAATTCTCATTGTCATAAACAGTGAGAATATTCATTAAATATACATGTAGCAATTATCATCAACAGGCTTTCCAACCTCTACCAGACAGTCCAATCTCAGATTTCCCCCAGGTTTAACAAGAGATTTCTTCTCACTCTACACTTTTTCTCTAGACAGTCTCATCAATGTCAAAGCTTCAATTATAATCTATACACTGCAGACCCACATATTTTTATCTTCTCTGAGTCACTGATTCATGTATTCAACTGTCTTTTTGACATCTAAATCTGATTGGGGCATTCACACTCTCATATGTCCAGCCTGAATGTGTCATCTTCCCCCACCTCACTTGCTCAGCATGCCTACCTACCCACATGCTCAGGGTAAAAACTTGAAAGCTTTTAATTTGTCCTTACCTTCACCCTTTCTTTGTATGCAGTCCACCCCCAAGTACTGTCAAGTCAGTGTCTTAAATGCCTATTTAAATCTTATTCTGCCCCGCATCCCTCTAGATTAAAGTACAATCATCTCTCTCCTGAACTATTGATGTAGCTTCCTAATTGTCTTGATTTATATCAGCTCCGCCCCTTCCAGTCTACTCATCACACTATATCTAGAGTGATGGTTTGAATATGCGAAACTGATTGTGTTGCTCCCCTGCTTCAAATTTTCCAATGTCCTCCATTACTCCAAAGTCATAGATCAAAATTCTGCAGTCGGAAATTGTTTGACACCTGCCCATGTCACCAGACTATCTAGCACTATTTACTTCATCTCCCTGTGTTATAGGCACTTCATCTTCTTTCTGTCCTACAAAAGCATCATGCTCTTTCCTGCCCAGTGCCTTCACTCAGGCTGTTCCTTCTGCCCAGAGTCCTCTTTCTTCCCCTTTCCTTACCCCCACCTCACCCCCATTTACCTGATTATAGAATTTCCTTTCTTCCAAGATACTATAGCTTATAAGACACACCTTTTGTTTACAGCTTTCTAGAGAAAAAAATTATTCACTAAATAGGTATATAGCAATTGGAAATCCATATTGATCTTAAAAATCTTTAATTTGATAAGATGTGAATCTTAGAATTAGATAAATATGCTTGTAAATAGTTAAAAGTTAGTTACTTGCACATGGTTTTGTAACTTTCTATTTTACTCTGTTTTTTTCTTATTGTAATTATAATAATACAATTTATTAGAATTTTTTTTTTTTTTTTGAAATGGCGTCTTGCTCTGTTGCCCAGGCTGGAGTCCAGCCATGTGATCTCAGCTCATTGCAACCCCCACCTCCTGGGCTCAAGCAAGTCTCCTGGCTCAGCCTCCAGAGTAGCTGGGACTACAGGCATGTGCCACTACACACAGCTAATTTTTGTATTTTTAGTAGAGACGGGGTTTCACCATGTTGGCTAGGCTGGTCTTGAACTCCTGACCTTAAGTGATCTGCCTGCCTCAGCACCCCAAAGTGCTGGAATTACAGACATGAGACAGTGTGCCCAACCCAGAATTCAAATTTTTAAAAGGTCTCTCTCATCTATTAGAATGTGAGTTCTGGTACCACTAAATCTCTAGTACATGACACAGTGTCTAGCACAAAGTCGGTGTTAAGATTAACCAACATGTTCAAATCAGAATTGCTCCATTTCCCATTAGGTTATGTTCAAGCCAGGCTGTGTACCCACCCTATGCTAGTTTCTATTGCTATTATAACACATGGGCAGAAATGTTGTGGCTTAAAAGAAGGTACATTTATTCTCTCACAGTTCTGGAGATCAGAGATTCAAAATCAGTTTCACTAGAGTAAAGCCAAGATGTCAGAAGAGCTGTTTCCTTCTTGAGGCTTTAGGAGAGAATCCATCTTTTTGCTTAGTTAAGCTTCTAGTGGCTGCAAAGTTCCTTTGGCTGTATAAAGTAACATCCAAGGGCTTGGGAAATGGGATGTGGACATATTTGTGTGTGGGGGGAGGCATTATTCAGCCTACCACCCACCCCTGTGTTGAAAAACAATATGGAAGACTTAGATCCAAATTGGAAAATGGAGCATAGATCAAGAGACATCACTTAAGAGTCAAGACTATGTTTTAGACCGGGTGTGGCTCCTTCCTAGTGGTGAGATTCTTGGTAAATACCTTCATTTCTTCAAGCCTCCTCCGCAAAATGCTGGACCAAAGCAGGTGATTTCTTCCCTTCTATGATCATGGGCTCCCAATGGTTACATGCTAGAGTATGATTTTATGCTGTCCTCATGGCTTCGCATGGCCCACATGGCTTCAGGAACACAAAAGAAGCCCAGAAAAAGGTTTCAAGATCCCATACCCTGCCACTGTGAATGAGAGACAGTTTCTTGATGCTGATTTTCCTCCAGGCCCCCATCACAGCCTGGTTTCAATTTTGGTAAGAAGAGGAACAGAAAAACAGACCACATATGTAACATAACAAGCTCTGCACCCTTCCTCCTTTATGGTTTCTTTAAATACCAACATAGAGTACCCCCTCCCAAAAAACCTAAAACTGGAATATCCCATCAAGGTATAACTATTTATTACCTACCCACCCCTTAAAAAAAAAGGGAAATAATAAAAGAGGTAAAATTATTGTCCACTTATCTGGCATGAATCATTACATTCTAGATAACTTAGTCATGCACAAAACTAAACAAAAAATATAGTTTTAGACACTAGTAGATTGCACACTCATCTAGATTAAGAATTCCAGAGACGCTCAAAATAGAGGACTTATGTCTTTCAGCCTATCTCAGTGCCTGGCAAGAGTAAGTGGCCAATGAATGTGAGATGAATTGAATCAGGCCCCTATAATTTTTTCATAAAGTATGAATATGTACATGTGATTTGGAGCAGACCAAGTAGATATATTCCTGGGTGTGCCTAGAAGCACTGAGAAGCTGTGTATGTGTTAGATGGAGGTCATTGGTGTGAACATACCAAAAATTTAACAGCAGAGAGCTTTCAGGGTATGCCCCAGCTTTTCTTGTGTTTCAACAGCCCCTTGAAATATTAGAAAAGAGAAATAGAGACATAGATGAAGAGAGAGAGAAAATTGATGGAGAAATAACCAGTTAAAAATAAAGTCAAAACTGAGTGTGAAAGTGAGGCTACTAAAACCAGGATAATAGTCATCCATAGAAATAACCTGTGCTTTGGGAGGAATCCTCAGGGCAGGGGTGATCTCCAGGTAAGAACTGATCAAAGGAGATGTTTGTGTTTGGCTAGGTTTTTACTAAAGCCCTTACTCCCTCTAGTGGGAAGACGGAGCTGTGCAGCATCCGTAGCAAGGTGTGTGCTCTTCAGGGCTAAAAGTCCTTTGGAATCAAGATTGTTTCTTGTTTCTTTTTTTTTCTTTTTTCCTTTTTCTCTTTCTTTTCTTTTCTTTCTTTCTTTCTTTCTTTCTTTCTTTCTTTCTTTCTTTCTTTTTCGTTTTTCTCTTTCTTTCTTTTTCTGTTTCTTATCTCCTCAGCTTGAAGGTTGCATCCTCTTTATCTCCTTAAGTAAAGCTGGGAGTTCTGTAGTACTCCAGGAGTGAGGACAATTATGCTTAAGAAACTTTGGTTTCAGTTTAGTCCCAGACCAAGAGGAAAACATTTCAAAATTTTAAAGTAAATCCTAAAAGTGTAATTTACACCAGAGCGATTGACCTGGCATTTATGTAGACTGAAGCTTGAGAAGTAATTCAAGTGGTTTCCACTCATTCCCTTGGAAGAGTCCTTAGAATGTACTTCCATTGGTCTGAAAAACGCCTGAAAAAGAGTCCTGATGCTAACAGTAATGGAAATAGGAGGGCTGGTGGTTCACGATCAGCCCAGTGGTATCCTCTATTCTATTTGCATCTAGGTAAAGAGACTGTGGCCTGTATGTGATCAAACAATTTGTTGAAGCGCTTTGGGCTTAGGGCATTTAATTTCTGTGAAGTAGGACCATCAGTTGTTTGCTCTGTTTTTGTGTCACCTCTCAGAATACATTAAAGTAGGGGCAACCCTTGAGCCCAGACTTCTGCCATGTGAAGACCCTTTGAAAATCCTGACAAACACAGGTACTGCGTAAGTGGTCAGCTAATTAAAGAGGGGAGGTGGAGCTGTCCTTTGTGTATCCAATAAGTACCCATTATCTCATTTGAGCATGAAAAGAGGCCACTGTTATTACTTTCAAGAAGGAAAGTAAGCAGGATAGCTCATATTTTTAGAACAATTCCTCACCAAATGGAATAATTCCGGTGAAAAGTGGGAGTGAGGAAGAAAGAAAAAAAAAACTTCTAATCATAATGTTTGGGAATAAGAAAGGAAGAAGAAACTCACGTCAAAGCCGACTTTCTCCTGCAGCTGTAAAATAAACTCTTAAGACCCTTCCTGCTGAAACTCTGGAGAGGAAAACTGGAGTGGCGGGTGGGCTTTGCCTGCAGCTCAACTCTCCCTCGCGGCGCGGGCGCGGCTGGGTTCAGCACCTCGGAAAGCGCCCCTCGCGGCGCCCCGGGATTACGCATGCTCCTTGGGGCCCGCCGCCTTGGCCGTGCAAGTGCCACCGTAACTGGTGAGAGCCGCTGGCAACCCACCCGGAGTTGACAACCGCGGAGAGACGCAGACACCCACTGACCTCCAGGAAGCTGAGCGTGGTGGATGGAACTCTACGATCTCTTTCTCTCCAAGGACGGAAACCTCATCCAAGCAGTCCCAGAGGAAACGGATAAAGGTATTTGAAAGGGAGCGAGCGGCCCCAAATCGCACAATTGAGCGGCTGGGGGAGTTATGCGCCAGTGCCCCAGTGACCGCGGGACACGGAGAGGGGAAGTCTGCGTTGTACATAAGGACCTAGGGACTCCGAGCTTGGCCTGAGAACCCTTGGACGCCGAGTGCTTGCCTTACGGGCTGCACTCCTCAACTCTGCTCCAAAGCAGCCGCTGAGCTCAACTCCTGCGTCCAGGGCGTTCGCTGCGCGCCAGGACGCGCTTAGTACCCAGTTCCTGGGCTCTCTCTTCAGTAGCTGCTTTGAAAGCTCCCACGCACGTCCCGCAGGCTAGCCTGGCAACAAAACTGGGGTAAACCGTGTTATCTTAGGTCTTGTCCCCCAGAACATGACCTAGAGGTACCTGCGCATGCAGATGGCCGATGCAGCCACGATAGCCACCATGAATAAGGCAGCAGGCGGGGACAAGCTAGCAGAACTCTTCAGTCTGGTCCCGGACCTTCTGGAGGCGGCCAACACGAGTGGTAACGCGTCGCTGCAGCTTCCGGACTTGTGGTGGGAGCTGGGGCTGGAGTTGCCGGACGGCGCGCCGCCAGGACATCCCCCGGGCAGCGGCGGGGCAGAGAGCGCGGACACAGAGGCCCGGGTGCGGATTCTCATCAGCGTGGTGTACTGGGTGGTGTGCGCCCTGGGGTTGGCGGGCAACCTGCTGGTTCTCTACCTGATGAAGAGCATGCAGGGCTGGCGCAAGTCCTCTATCAACCTCTTCGTCACCAACCTGGCGCTGACGGACTTTCAGTTTGTGCTCACCCTGCCCTTCTGGGCGGTGGAGAACGCTCTTGACTTCAAATGGCCCTTCGGCAAGGCCATGTGTAAGATCGTGTCCATGGTGACGTCCATGAACATGTACGCCAGCGTGTTCTTCCTCACTGCCATGAGTGTGACGCGCTACCATTCGGTGGCCTCGGCTCTGAAGAGCCACCGGACCCGAGGACACGGCCGGGGCGACTGCTGCGGCCGGAGCCTGGGGGACAGCTGCTGCTTCTCGGCCAAGGCGCTGTGTGTGTGGATCTGGGCTTTGGCCGCGCTGGCCTCGCTGCCCAGTGCCATTTTCTCCACCACGGTCAAGGTGATGGGCGAGGAGCTGTGCCTGGTGCGTTTCCCGGACAAGTTGCTGGGCCGCGACAGGCAGTTCTGGCTGGGCCTCTACCACTCGCAGAAGGTGCTGCTGGGCTTCGTGCTGCCGCTGGGCATCATTATCTTGTGCTACCTGCTGCTGGTGCGCTTCATCGCCGACCGCCGCGCGGCGGGGACCAAAGGAGGGGCCGCGGTAGCCGGAGGACGCCCGACCGGAGCCAGCGCCCGGAGACTGTCGAAGGTCACCAAATCAGTGACCATCGTTGTCCTGTCCTTCTTCCTGTGTTGGCTGCCCAACCAGGCGCTCACCACCTGGAGCATCCTCATCAAGTTCAACGCGGTGCCCTTCAGCCAGGAGTATTTCCTGTGCCAGGTATACGCGTTCCCTGTGAGCGTGTGCCTAGCGCACTCCAACAGCTGCCTCAACCCCGTCCTCTACTGCCTCGTGCGCCGCGAGTTCCGCAAGGCGCTCAAGAGCCTGCTGTGGCGCATCGCGTCTCCTTCGATCACCAGCATGCGCCCCTTCACCGCCACTACCAAGCCGGAGCACGAGGATCAGGGGCTGCAGGCCCCGGCGCCGCCCCACGCGGCCGCGGAGCCGGACCTGCTCTACTACCCACCTGGCGTCGTGGTCTACAGCGGGGGGCGCTACGACCTGCTGCCCAGCAGCTCTGCCTACTGACGCAGGCCTCAGGCCCAGGGCGCGCCGTCGGGGCAAGGTGGCCTTCCCCGGGCGGTAAAGAGGTGAAAGGATGAAGGAGGGCTGGGGGGGGCCCCATTTAAGAAGTAGGTGGGAGGAGGATGGGCAGAGCATGGAGGAGGAGCCTGTGGATAGGCCGAGGACCTTCTCTGGAGAGGAGATGCTTCGAAATCGGGTGGAGAGAGGAAATTGGCAAAGGGATAGAGACGAGCCCCACGGGCCAGACAGCCAACCTCCGCTCCGCACCCCACAGCCTCTCCTTACTCTTCCCACGCTGAGTAGTGTGGGGGCGCCCAGAAGCGAAGACAAGCAGCAAAAATGTAGAGAAATTGGCACGGGGAGCGGGGCTTAGCCAAATGATGCACAGACAATTGTGCCCGTTTATTCCAGCGACTTCTGCGGAGAGGGCAGCCGTCGGCACAAACACTCCTTTGCGTCTTGGCAAACGAGACTGCAGCAGCGCCAAGGTCCTACTTGCTGCGGGGCTGCCCCAGGAATCTAGAGCTGGTAGGCAAGAAACGCTTTTGGAGTTAAGAAAAAGAACTGACCATCCTGGTCCGCCCACAGGAGAAACGGCAAAGGAAAGCCACCTCCAATGGAGTCATTATGACAATTATCATTCCGGACTGGGCCAGCGGGAACACCCTGAGCCCGACCTAGCTGCACAGCCCCGGAGCTCAGACGTTAGCAGGGGGATAACACCTGTCACCAGCTTGGGAGAGCCATTCTCTGGGGAGTGTCGTCGCTGCGGGAGGGAGGAGACACAGTGTGATTAGAAGGGCTGGACAGGGAAATTTCTTCAGGCTGCTGCCCCAAAAGGTAAAAGGGGGCTCATATGCTCACTTGGTAGCAGAGTTGGAAGTGGAGCGCTGGCGCGTTGCGCGCAGGAAGCTCGGGCGCTCCAGTTCCTCTGAGAGCAGTCTGCGTGCTGCCGGTGAGCTGGGCCCGGAGGCATCTTGAATAGCTCTACTGGGAGGAGTGGGGGCACTTCTTCAGTTCCTCCCTTCCCACGCTTTGGGAATCAAGCTGTTCCTTTGATTGAGGCCCTGGACCAGCGAGTAGAGGGATGGTTCAGTATTTATTTTATTATTAATTTTTTTCTGGTAGGCTTAGATAGAAGAGGAAGAAATACCGCAGAAATGTGCAAGGGGAATTGGGGCGGGGGGCGGGGGGAAGTGGAATCTTGGAAACCAAATTCCTAGAAGCTGGGTCGGATCTCTCAAACAGAGGTGTGGGGTAGGAAAGAAAATAGAAGGTTCAGGTACCATGTTCTAAAGCGAGCAGAGTACTGGGGAAACTGTTCTGAGGGTATCATCAGAATTTCAGTTGTGGGCTTTTTTATTGCTTATATTATTGACAAGAGAAGGTAGGAAATAGTAATTCCCATCGGACATTACCATCACCAATTTCCATTTATTCTAAAGAGTGCTTTACATATTAAGCATGCATGACAAATTCTTTCCCAGCCTCCAGACAGTTTATGGAGCTGTCTCTGAAGACCGCCTCACATTTCTCATGTTGACTCTGTTTTGATCACAGGAGCTTAAGATGTTAAACCCTCACAAAGTCCTTTCTTGAGGCTCTTCTAAGAACTGGGATCAAACATCAGTCTACCTACCCCTCTGCTGGCTTTCATAGAGGTACTGCTACTCTCTTCGGCAACCTGGTTTGGGGCCAAAAAACCAATGATGCAGGCACCCACCAGGGTGGTTGGTTTAATATAAAAAATAGCCATTCGTAAAAACAGGTCTGTTTAAAGAGCCTCTTGAACGGTAGAATTGTTTAGTGATGTCGTTGAAAGTTTTCTGCAGTATCTGAGATTCAGGGCTCAAAATGTGAGATCTACAACTCCCACCTTCCCTGATCTGCTTTCTGTGATTGCAAAACACAGTGAAATGACTAAACACTCATGCCTTCCCACAAAGGCAGAAGCTGCCAGTCGCGATTCTGAGCAGTCTTGTGAAGTCAGCTCTTTTAGAAAACTGAATGGTGTGTTTGTTTTGAAGTAGTCCATTTTTTTCTTCACCCTTTGGGAAGAACAATTATTGATATAGATATTGAATAGCAATTAGGCTAACAAAGACTGAAATGTAAGCTCCACAAAGGTCCCCAAAATACAAAATACATGAAAAAGTAAACACAGGAGAAAACTAACATTTGCACGGTAGGAGATACATCTATAACACGGATAATAGACTCTTACTGAGAGATTCTTATCAAAGCAAATTTCCATTTCAATTTAACAATAAAATAATGTATGGGTAGCTCAGAATTTTTAGGAAAGGGTGTTGAAGTATGTGCATCTGCTACTATGGGCACTAGAAAAACAGCAAAGAAGGAGCTGGAGGAATGGGAAAAAAATAACCTCTATAAAAAGGGTCACTTTGTCCAAATCCCAAGCACAAGGCTTCTGAGAACATGGCAGGAGGGATCAAAGATCATGACTTTGGTCTACCACAAAGACAAAAGGGTCACCAAAGGAAATGGTCAGATCAATTGTAATCAACAATTACTTTTTGAGTGGCTGTTTTGTGCCATCCCCTGTGCAGGGTGCTGAGGTGATGTACACGAACCAGACACGTTTCTGACCTCCACACGTAAAAGGACAGACAGCGGTGAGCACAAGCAAGATAAGACAGGGAATGATCAGCTGAATGTCAAAGTAAGGCTGAAAGAAAGAAAGACAAAGGAAGGAAAAGTTGATCCTGCTGGGAGGTCAGACTTTCTGGTCAAAATAATATTTGAGACAGGTCTAAATATATGGGCACAGTTTAGGCAGAATGGCAGGGGTTGGTTCGGAGGTAGAGAGGATATTCAACGCTAATAAAATGTGGTGACTAAAAGCTTTGATGTTGGAATGTCGGATGCTTGGTTAGGGAAGCAGGAAACAAAGTAGTAGGGATTCTCTTTCTCTTGCAGGATTTCCCAGGATTTCTGTTGAGAGTATGCGTCCTTGTACTAGTTTTATTTGTCTGGGGAAAGGAAATTTCTTTTGCCAGAAAGAATATGTCATTGGTATACTGAGAACAAATACTTAGATTCCCAAATGTGGTTAAAGACTTTGAAAATTGGATTATATTTATTCATTCAAACCTCAAGGGAGTTGAGTTCAATGAGTATTTGCATATTTGTGTGTGTGTGTGTGTGTGCGCGCGCACAAGTGCCCTGTGGTTGGTTAGGGATGACTACATTTGACTTCTTGGGGGTTCAATAAGATGGCCCTTAGCTGTGGGTCACCTTTCCAGCTGGCCCATCTATTCATTTCCAAATCTTCACACATCAGAACAGTTTTTGGAGAAACGGACAGGAAATAAACACTGAACCCTGGAGAGGATTCCATTTCTAAACCTTGCAGAGGCCAAGTACAGGTAAGGGAGATAAGACAGGTGGCTTGTCGCTGTTTCTTTCCTAATGCCAAGAGTTATGTGCCATGAAGTCCTCTGAACATTTACCCATCCTCATCCCACACAATGGGGTTGGGAGCAGGTGTTTTCCCTCGTGGCCTCTCTAAATGAGTCATTAACTTATTTCTCCAGGATGGATAATGGCAGGGGGATGGGAGGGTGGAGTAGAGAAGAAGGGGTAATTTTGTATATATTCTGTAAAAAGAAAGAGATTATTTCATTTGGGAGTGAATGTACTAATAGAATACAGGAGGACCTGATTGGGAAGCAGAAAATGAGAAGGGAGCAAGGCTTGGAGGGTGATAAGTAAAAGAGCATGCTCAAGCCAGAGAAGACAGCCTAGCTGGGTCTGGAAAGCACCAGTGATCTGGAGAGAATGGGACAGACACACTGCAGGAGCCTGGATAAGGAAGCTGCATGCCCTGCAGGTGACGAGGTTGAGCAGGGGGCAGGAAGAAGTGGCCACTTTAGCATAAACCCCTGCCCTCTATTGTTCCCCCCAACATATACACCAGAAGTGGCCAGACTCACAGGGGCATTTCAGATGCCTTGCTCCACACCCCAGCACTGCCTCAGTCACAGGTATAAGAACCAGGTAGCTGCAGAGAGTGGGTTCTTTAAACACAAAGGAGGTAATGGTAGAATTGAAGCAACAAAGTGGAAGCCCAAGCAGCAGCAGCAGGAGGAAAGCGCGTGTGAGATATCAGGGATGCCACTGCCTTATAAGACACTTGGGGAGGCTGGGAAGGAGAAGGAGGCTGCAGCACAGAATGACAACAAATGGCTCTTTGCTCCTAGGCTGGCCAACTTCAGTAGATACGGTCCTTAGCCCTGGGCAGCCAGGGCCCCTGGTCTGGGTGTCATCATTAGAGGAGACCCTGCTCTTCCCCTGCCCCTCCCCACATGGCAAGGATTGCACAGGACCTTCTGGAATCTGTGCCCCCCTAGTCCTCCCACCTCCTAGATTATGCTTGGGTACGTGAGACCTTGGAATCTCTTGTCCAAATGGCCCTGAGTCTATTTACAAGGAATCCATGGGTTCTTTCTTGAGTCTATCCTCCAGAGGGAATTCCATGCCACTGAGTCTGTCCACCCTTAAGTGGCTAAGGGTGGTCGTTTGCAGGAGCGATAGAGGGTGGAGGCAGGTGGGAGGCTATGGATGTGCTGACGCCAGCATGCACACAAGGACTCTACACTGCCTAGGTAGAGAGAGGAGTGGGGGAAGCAGTGAAGAGGGATGGGCTGTGGATCACATGCCTCCATTCATGTGCCAGACACCAGGCTAAGTGCTGTCCATACAGGAAGCAACGGAACCAAAGTGACTGGGTTCAAAGCCCAGCTCTGTCACTTAAGAATTGTGTGGTTTCAGATAAGTTATATCTTTCTGCCTCCATTTCTTTATCTAAAAAATGGAGAGTGGTAACAGCACCCACTCCCACAATTGCTGTGTTAACGTTAAAGCATTTAGAATAGTGGTAAAGACTCCATAAATGTCATGGTTTGTGTTTTGTGGTTTGTTCGTTTGTTTGTTTTGAGACCAGGACTCGCTTTGTCTCCCAGGGTGGAGTGCAGTGACAAAATCACAGCTCACTACAGCCTCGATCACCCAGGCTCAAGCAATTCTCCCACTTCATCTTCCCCAATAGTTGGGACTACAGGCATGCACCACTATGCCCAGCTAATTTTTAAAATATTTTTTGTAGAGAGAGGGTCTCCCTATGTTTCCCAAGCTCGTCTCGAACTCCTGGCCTCAAGGTATCCCCCTGCCTCGGTCTCCTAAAGTGCTGGGATTACAGGTATAAGCCACCATGCCTGAACCAATGTTACATATTATTAATCATCACAACTCTCTGAGATAGCAATTCTTATCCCAAATGTATAGATGAGCAAGTGTGCCTTGGGGAGATTACATAGTTTACTGCTGAGTGGCAAAGCCAGGATTTAAAACCAGCTGATTCCAAAACACGATTTTTATTAAACCATGCTGTCTCTCAAGGCTGCTGAAAACCTCATCATGGGGCAGTTGAAGGGGTGTGGTTAGAGAAAAACTGCTTAGCTTGGAGAAAAGAAGATCATAGGAGAAACAGGGGGCTGTTTTTTGGAAAGACTTTCACATCAAATCCAGAGGACGAAACAAGGGTGCAGACTAGAGAGAAATATTTTTACTGTGTCAATGAAATGAACTATTTTAAAGTGGTGAATTCTCCAGCATGAGATGTTTGAGTAGACTTGTCAGGGGTATCATAAAGTAATAGGAATTAATTATGAGCAAATTATGAATAAATTAATAGAGAATAAATCATTAGCAATATTTTGAATATTTGTGAATTTGATGAAATATATGATTCCCCAATATATATGGACCCCTGGCTAAAAAAAAAAAATCAAATCACTTCACAGAACACATCCAAGCATTGTATATGGAATTAGTCTGCTTCTGAGGTCTCAGCAAGATTTGTAATGCCCTGTGAAAAGCAGCTCCTGCCTCTTCCACCCTTGCACCGAGATGCTGCCACCCACACTTACCCCTTGCCACCGAGGCATAGAGGCATAGTCCAGGCAAACGTTGCCTGAAATATGGGGACTGTTGTGCAGAGGATTGGTTTAAAGTGAGAGGTGGGACTGGGCGCGGTGACTTGCGCCTGTAATCCCAGGACTTTGGGAGGCCAAGGGGGGCGGATCATGAGATCAGAAGGTCGAGACCATCCTGGCTAACATGGCGAAACCCCATCTCTACTAAAAATACAGAAAATTAGCCATGCATGGTGGTGGGCGCCTGTAGTCCCAGCTACTCGAGAGGCTGAGGCAGGAGAATGGTGTGAACCCAGGAGGCGAAGCTTGCAGTGAGCCGGGATCGTGCCACTGCACTCCAGCCTAGGTGACAGAGCAAGACTCCATCTCAAAAAAAAAAAAAAAAAGAGAGAGAGAGAGAGAGAGGTGGGCAGATTCCACGGCTGAAATCACAATAGTGGGCGTCCAATGGGCAGACCCTAAGATTCAGAGCTGCAGAAAATGTTAACTTCCTGCCATGTGCTTCACTGTCTCTGAGGTTAGGGTCATTGTCTCTTTATTGACCTAATCCACATATCTAACAAAGAGAGCGACAAAGCAACAGCCTATCAGTGCCACCGCAGACGCTGTGATCACCACGACGACAACGGTCCCGGCTGTGTTGACCAGAAAGCCCAGGCCACCTCCGACCAGGATCTGAGCCAGCTGCACCATGCATGTGAGGGTGGCGCAGTCCATGCCCTTCCCTCTCACGCTGTTGTCTGGGTCCCCTCCTGGGGCCTGCTGCCTCTGCAAAGGAAGCACAGAACCACCATTTGACCTACAAGGAACTGTCATTTAGGGCACAGGTCAGCAAAATTTTTCTGTGACCAGCCAGATAGTAAATACCTTTGGCTTCGTGGATTATACAGCCCTGGTCATAACTACTCAACTCTGCTGCTGTAGTGCAAAAGCAGGGGCAATGTGGAGCTGAGTTGGCTTTCCAATATATATTGATGGACATTATTAGCATTTGATTTCATGTAATTTTCATGAATTGGTGATGTGGAACTGAACTGAATATTGATGGGTATTAGCATTTGATTTCATGTAATTTTCACCTGTCACAAGATATTAACCTTCTTTTGAAAGTTTTTTTCAATCATTTAAACAATTAAAAGGAATTCTTAGCTCGCAGACTGTACAAAAACAAGTGGCGGGCCATAATCAATACAATGTAGTGGATACTTAATAAATATCCCATTCTTTTCCTTTCTTAGTGTTAAAAATTCAAAGATTTTAAGAAGGATGTTGAATTGCTGATGTCCTTAAGAGAAGCAACTTTAAAAAGCATTTCAATCTTTCAAAATATGGTTGCTACTTGATTAATATAATAATGTTTGGTTAATACTTGATATTTCTTCCGAACTGGCTGATAACTTTGTCATTTGTTGGGTATCGCTTATGTGCTGGGCCTGGGTTTTTTTTTTACCTGTTACTGTATTTCAACCTCACCACCTCCCTGGATGCACATGTTATTATCATTACCCCCATGGTAACAATTATAATACTAGCTATCACATTTTGAGTCTTTGTCGGGTGCTAGGGGGCACTATGCTAAGCACATCCACTAATTTGTTTGCTTTTCTATAAGGTAAATAACATTCTTTCCATTTGCCTCATGAGGAAACTGAGGGCCTGCGAGCTTAAATGATGATTTCCTACACTATTAGGCAAAAAAAAAGCATTATGCTGAAAAACGCATATTATCCTTTGAATAAGAAAGGAAAATAAGAAAACAGATTTACATTTGCTTGGTTTTTATTTAAAAATGCCGGAAAGATTAACAAAAAACTAGTAAGAGTGGTAACACGTTGGGGCTGGAGGGAGATAGTAAATGGTAAAGGGAGCACACAGTGTGCACTTTTGTGTATCATTGTGAATATATTATCTCACCTAAAAATGAACTCATTCTAAGTGCTAACTAATAAACAAGTAAATAACATCCCCAGTGTAACACAGCTTCCAAGTGAGAGAGGCAGGATTTGAATCCAGGTTTCTCTGAGCCTGAAGCGTAGGTTTTCTTCCCCCAACACCATGTAACACTCTCCTTGTAGGGACAGTTTTTTATGATGACTCTCCCATTAGCAGCAACATCCCACCTTGGTGACAATGTTTGCCAGGGGATGAGGAAAGCCACACCTCTTTTTTGAAAGGTTTTTACTCCTGGTGCACCTCTGCCCTGCTGCCAGATCAAATGATGAAAAACATGGCCAGAATTATAGTCTGATGGTTATATGTTCAGTGTTTTTGCAGTTTCATGCTGAGCTGGATTAAACTTGGAGTTATCTCTGTAGCTTTTATATCATTGCTCCAGTTAAGGAACTATAAGCCTATTTTCACAGGAAGAAAGTTGCAAATTTTGATAAGAAGAGGTGGTAATTTTAGAGTGGAAACACCAACTCTGTTATAAGCACTGCATAGGCGCTTGTTCACTAGTTGCGTTCCAAGGTTTAAATGGCACAGGTCCCGCTCAGGGCAGCAAAGTGGGGATTACCACCCATGATTCCAGCTTTCCTTCTCACACATGGGGTCTGACTTACTAAAATCTGGACTCCATTGCCTAGGACTTTCCTACCCTCAGCAAATAATGCCAAGAAATTCCACTATGTACCTCTGAAAGTTGGGGATAGGGAGACCCTTATTGTCGGTATCTAGAAATGCTGCAGGTGGCACCAGGGAGACCTATGAGGTGGTTACAGAAGACCTGGGTCCCCCTTTTTTTGTCTTTGTGTAATTGTGGGCTGGTTTCTCAGCCTCACCAAGCCTTTTTCTAATTAGAAAAATGGGAGTAACACTTCTTGCCCTACAGCTCCCTAAGTGAGCAGGAGTTGAGAATAAGGAGGACAGGACAGCTGGGCTGGGCTGGGCTGGTGAGCATGCCTGTACCAGATCATGGTTGCAGTTGGTTGGGCATTTGACTGTTGCTGTTTCAAGAACCCTTATTTTCCAGCTCTGCTCTACACATTGCTACCAAATCCTCCCCAGCCTTCAGATGAGTCTGGATGTTACCCAAGGCAGAGGTTCAATGACAGCACACCTCCTTTTCTTCCTCGCGGTGGTACTCAGTAATGAGGTTAAAGGGCACAGTGTACAGGGTGCTGGACATTACACCAAACAGGCTGCACAGGACCAGGGTGGAGTAGACATTCGGGAAGAGCCCAATAAATCCCGTCCCCAGGCCAAACAGCAAATATCCCGTGAAGTAAAGACCCTTTAATCCAATGTAGGATACCAAAACTTTCTGAAAGTCTGTGGGAAGAAGAGAGGGAGAAATTACAGCTGGCAGTGCCTCATAACATTTAATAATTTCAGACAATCCTTTCTTCTGAAGATTCACCTTTTTAGACATCCTTTGATACTGAGCCAGGAACAAAAGAATCCCCTTATCTGTGGGTTGAAAACAGCTGGCTTTTGGAACCATTTTAAAGACCTTTCCATAAAGGACAGCTTGAAATTGCCTTGGTAGGCTGATTTTTTTTCTACAAAGAAGAATCTGGCACTGTTTAGCAGACAGCTGGATAGCAAAAAGAAGCGAGAAAGGTGGTGGAAAATCTGACCTAACTATGGGAACCTGGGGCTTCAAGAAAAGTGTGGGTTATTCTAAATCAGATGGGCTGTGGCCCCATAGGACGAAAATAATAACACAGGCCTATCTTGGCCCTACAACCCAAAGTCAGGTTGGGGAAAATTGAAACAACCAAAATTTACAGAATGATCTAAGTCATTCATGATTTCTTAGCCCCCATCTGAATGGAGTCTGCACACCTGAGAAGGAGGTAAAAGATGTACAATTATCTGAAGACACCTTCCCTGACTTGCCAATCCTTCCCAGACTGGTAAGGGGCTCCCACAGCACCCAGCATCTCCTCATCGCTGGCTCCCTAACTCTTGGTAAACAAGTTCCTTGACTTCTCAAAACCCCAGCTTCCTCATCTGAAAACTGGGAATAATAAAACCATCTTTTGGAGTTGTTGCCAGGATCAAGTGAGATGAAGTGTCTATGAAATCACCCAGCTTAATGCCTAGCATGTAGAAAACATCCAATTAAGCAACAAGACAGGCTGAGCTGGAGACAGTTGACTTTTAACTGGGTTCCTCTTCTAGCAGGTCAACTTGGCTTGCTTATATCAGTATAGTGGCAGAACTAATTTTTAAAAATGAAAAATTCTGCTTTAAAACATTTTACAAGGTTTTCTACAATGGCAAGGAAAATCTCTAAATTGTTTTTATCTTCTTCCCTCAGTCGTTTTTAATCCACACATTCCTCATCTCTTCCCTGCCCCATTCTCCTGGAACACAAGAATCAGAGGATAAATAACAGATACTTGAAACGTGACTATTAAGAATGACATTTTCCATATCTATTCATATAATTATTGGACTTACACCTTGTAGACAAGCAACCTTATTTGCAGTACATTTGAATCAATTATGAAACTAAACACTCTCACACTGATGGAAGACAAAGATCTGGAAATGACAAGTAGGCAACATTGCTTCCTCTATTAAACTTATACCATGACTGGAGGACTGTTGTTAAGGTTGAGAATACAAAAATGAGAATAAAGCTAGAACAGTTTCTGCTTGCTTAATAATTATATTTATACAGAAAATGTAATCTAAGGTGTCTCAATACCTAAAAGATACCATCAATACCCATTAGGGAAATGCTCTTATCCAAGTGTGTATGCCAGCAGAGGAGAAGGCAAAGTAGGGCAAAGAGGTATTTGGAAACATAAGTAACTTCAGTACAGAGACTGAAAGTCTGGCAAAGAATACTTTATTCACAAAGATAATTCAGTGAACTTCAGGGCCAAGCTTGAATTGCCCTCTGATGGGTCTGATACCCAGTGGTAGTCATATCCTCACACAATGCCTCTCTTCAGGACTGAGGGGAAATTATAGATTTAAGCACCAGTTATGACTAGTAGTGTATGATATTATGGTATGAACAATAGGCCATATCTTAGTACTCAGTGTTGTTGTTCTAATTGGTATACCTGTACCTGCTGTATACAAAAGGAGCTTAGAAACAAGTCCCTATCAGCACTCTCCACCTCAGCAGCCAGATTGTCCTGCCAACCTCCATGTGGATAGAAACTCTGAATCTGCTCCTGATGTTATGTGATGAATCCAAAATAGAGGGTAATATAGTGAGCTCTGGAAGGAAAGGAAAGGATTGATTCTGCCCAGAGTGGGTTGAGGTGCAGGGGGAAGAAAACTTGAATGATTTCACTGAGGAAGTAATATTTAAGCTGGGTCTAAAAATATTATTAGAAGTTGTCCAGTTGGGGAAGTAGAAAGAGCAGTTCAGGCAGAAGAAACTAAAAGCAGTGGCAAATACCCAGAAATGAGAAAGTCTGCATAGTGGGTCATTGAGGGTGGTTAATTGATATGGGAGTGAAAAAGGGCAAAGTATGAACTAGGCCAAACTGTGAAAAGCTCAGGAATTTGACTTTATCCTATGGGCATGGGGAATCCCTAAAATCCTTGAGCAGAGCTGGCTGGTATTTTATAAATAAAATGTTGATTTGAATTAACAATGGTAGGGATCCCATAGATTTATACATTAATAAAACTTTGGAAAACTATTCAACTAATAATTTCTTTTGTAACTAGAAACGCTTTTAACTAGAAGGGACCTAAAAATAATATGCTTTAAAGTTTCAAATGCCATAAAATTTATGCGGACAAGACTAATGGAATGTTATCTAGTAGGAGTTCCCTGAGGAAAAATAAGTTTAGATTGACACTTTTCTTTCTGACAAAGATGAAGGTAGGGCTGGATGTAGTGCCTCATGCCTGTAATCCCAGCACTGTGGGAGGCTGAGACAGGAGGATCACTTGAGCCCAGGAGATCGAGACCAGCCTGGGCAATGTAGGGAGACCCCATCTCTAAAAAAAAAATTTTTTTTAAATTAATAAGCCAGGCACAGTGGCATGTGCTTGTGGTCCCGGGTACTCAGAGGGCTGGGACTTGCTTGAGCCCAGAAGGTTGAGGCTGCAGTGAGCCATGATCATGCCACTGCACTCCAGCTCAGGTGGCAGAGTGAGACTTTGTCTTAAAAAAAGAAGAAAAACAAAAAAAAGCATGAGGGTAGTGGTAAATAGTCCCCTCAGCCCTTGAAATCATGAAGGACTTAAGCTGGATAATTTACTAGACCCTTTTAGTCTAACATTCTTTTATTCTATTTTAAGTGCTTGAAATCTTCCTCCTGGATTTTTTCTTAGTTTGCACACTCGAAGAGGAAGAAAAGAGTTTGCTAAATAAATGTGATCTTTAAGCACTACTCTTTGAGTATCATAAATTTTAAAATAATGAATGTTGTTGTTACGTGATTATTGGGCTCATCAACTTGCATGTTTATATGAGGTCCCATTTTCCCAATTGGGCTAAATTTTTAAGAGGTCTTGAGGCAGGTTTCCTGCTGTGCTATGGCTAGGTAAAGGGAAGGGGAAGGGGCCCTCACATACATCCACACTTTCCCTTCACAAGAAGCAGGCTGACAGTGACAGAGTGAGTCCTCCTGAGAATGGTAACAGGGATTCTCCCCATCTCTTCCCACTTCCTTCACCTGGGCCATATCCCTGCTGTCCCCTGGACCTGTCCAAAGCCCAGAGCCCTGAATTGGGGGTCAGTTATTCTTACAATCTTGCAGAAGAAGAGCTCTTTATAGGAGCTCTTTATAATTAGGAGAACTGCATACATTTTTCAGGCCAGACGTTTCACTTAACTCAATGTATACAGAGCTTGGAGATATCCATACACAGTCGCAAGTACAATGCAGCCTGTGCAATGCCCTGGAGTTATAGCACAGCCACCTGGACTTACATAAAGACAATAGCAGAAATCCCTTTGTTCAGTGTCTTCACAGCTGCAACTTAGGTAAGTGGAGGTTAAGAGGCTCAGAAAAGCTGGCACCTGGGAAGGAAAGCCAGCTGTCCCCAATCCTGGTGTGGTGCTCCTATAACCCACCCAGTTACACATCTGAGCTAAGGTCATTTTGCATGCTGACTTTGTCACCTGTCATATTAATATTGCTTCTCTTCTGTATCATCTACAAATCTGATAAGCCTATCTATGAAATGCTACCAATGATCTTGCTCCAGTAGAACACGAACCTGCTGGGACTCATCCATCCAACACTTCATCTTGTAAAGATTCCCTTTCATTTTCCAGAGAAACTTGATCAGGAACCCACTGATTCCAAGAGCAAAGTAATCAGTGAGGAAATGACACCTAGAATTCATGATGAAAAAAGGATGCTTTATATGGTCCTTTTTAAGGTGATAGTTTTTCCTGACGTCCATAGATTTATTAAGAATCTGGTATTTTAAACAGTAGGAAATACACATAGAAATATCAAATCCAAGTTGTGCTAGACCAGAAACTTTTAGAAGACATCCTTAGGAGAGAGAAAGACTTACAAGAATAAAGTGAGGAAAACACGGAGTTGATGCACAAGCCCCAACATCCAACCTCGACTCCTCTTTCGTAGATGAGAAACTCTGTGGAGTTGTGTGCACTATAGGGATCCCCGCGGTACACAATCTGAAAGAGAGATTGGAGGCTGTTGAGGTACAAATGCAATGTAGTAAGAACCCTTCTCATGCACTCTGCTTCTCCACCTCTGGGGAGCAAATGTCCCTGCCTGAGGGACCCTTTCTAGAGTACAGAGCTGATGCTGTCATGACCAAGTCGCATCCTATCACATCTTCATTCAAGGACCTATCAGAAATCTAATGCTTGCTGCATCAGATCTCAACAACACTCTCTTGGATCCTTAACATTCCTCCTTCCATCTCACAGCTGGCCCCACCTGACTTAGGAAATCCCACCACTCATCTTCTGCTACAGCCAATCGGCTTCTGACTCATCTCCACATGGGCCATTCCTGTTCCTGCTTGGAATGTTTTCTCCCTCTCTAATATTCCTCTAACTCCTACTCACCCTTCAAGGCCCAGACCATACTGCACCTCCTTTTTTATGTGTATTTATTATCATATTTTATTTTTTAAGAGACAGGGTCTTGGTCTGTCACTCAGAATGGAGTACAGCGGCACAGTCATAGGTCACCGCATCCTTGAACCCCTGGCCTCAAATGATTGCTCCACCTTGGCCTCGAAAGCACTGAGATTACAGGCATGATCCACCATGCCCGGCCTGAACCCCACCCCTCCTTTTTGAAGCCTGCCATGATTGCTACAGCTCACATCAATTGGCCCTATTTGTTGTATTTTTTTTTTTTGTAGTTTCAGCATTTTATTTCTTATTTTGATTCAAGATGTGAGAGGTATTACAAACACTCAATTATGAGTGATGCATTTACGTGTCCTATTCTTCCATCTGTAGATAAGTGAAAAGTCATTTAAGAAATTAGAGGTCTCTGTAGTAAATCCAAGTCACAGTAAAGCAAACAAAAATGCATATGTGTGTGATATAATGTGGAACTTTACCCCCTTGGAAGACTTTGCAGGCTGTAAGAATTTCATTTTTAATGTATTTCATACAGGCCGGAGCTAACAAGTTAATTTCTATTGAGCAAAAGTTTTTTTTTTTTTTTTAATTTTTTTTTTTTTATTATACTCTAAGTTTTAGGGTACATGTGCACATTGTGCAGGTTAGTTACATATGTATACATGTGCCATGCTGGTGCGCTGCACCCACTAACATGTCATCTAGCATTAGGTATATCTCCCAATGCTATCCCTCCCCCCTCCCCCGACCCCACCACAGTCCCCAGAGTGTGATATTCCCCTTCCTGTGTCCATGTGATCTCATTGTTCAATTCCCACCTATGAGTGAGAATATGCGGTGTTTGGTTTTTTGTTCTTGCGATAGTTTACTGAGAATGATGGTTTCCAATTTCATCCATGTCCCTACAAAGGACATGAACTCATCATTTTTTATGGCTGCATAGTATTCCATGGTGTATATGTGCCACATTTTCTTAATCCAGTCTATCATTGTTGGACATTTGGGTTGGTTCCAAGTCTTTGCTATTGTGAATAGTGCCGCAGTAAACATACGTGTGCATGTGTCTTTATAGACAGCATGATTTATAGTCATTTGGGTATATACCCAGTAATGGGATGGCTGGGTCAAATGGTATTTCTAGTTCTAGATCCCTGAGGAATCACCACACTGACTTCCACAATGGTTGAACTAGTTTACAGTCCCACCAACAGTGTAAAAGTGTTCCTATTTCTCCACATCCTCTCCAGCACCTGTTGTTTCCTGACTTTTTAATGATTGCCATTCTAACTGGTGTGAGATGATATCTCATAGTGGTTTTGATTTGCATTTCTCTGATGGCCAGTGATGATGAGCATTTCTTCATGTGTTTTTTGGCTGCATAAATGTCTTCTTTTGAGAAGTGTCTGTTCAGATTTTGTCACCACCAGGCCTGCCCTAAAAGAGCTCCTGAAGGAAGCGCTAAACATGGAAAGGAACAACCGGTACCAGCCGCTGCAAAATCATGCCAAAATGTAAAGACCATCGAGACTAGGAAGAAACTGCATCAACTAATGAGCAAAATCACCAGCTAACATCATAATGACAGGATCAAATTCACACATAACAATATTAACTTTAAATATAAATGGACTAAATTCTGCAATTAAAAGACACAGACTGGCAAGTTGGATAAAGAGTCAAGACCCATCAGTGTGCTGTATTCAGGAAACCCATCTCACGTGCAGAGACACACATAGGCTCAAAATAAAAGGATGGAGGAAGATCTACCAAGCCAATGGAAAACAAAAAAAGGCAGGGGTTGCAATCCTAGTCTCTGATAAAACAGACTTTAAACCAACAAAGATCAAAAGAGACAAAGAAGGCCATTACATAATGGTAAAGGGATCAATTCAACAAGAGGAGCTAACTATCCTAAATATTTATGCACCTAATACAGGAGCACCCAGATTCATAAAGCAAGTCCTGAGTGACCTACAAAGAGACTTAGACTCCCACACATTAATAATGGGAGACTTTAACACCCCACTGTCAACTATTTGTTGTATTTGATTAAATACTGGCAGGCTCCGTAGTGTCCTCTAGTTGTCCAGGGTATAGTAGCATTTTTCTACACCTGTCTGTAAGTCAGCTTCTTGATGGTACCCTTTCCTACATTCTTACTGTGCCAATCTTAGAGGATAGCCCAGAAGAACCTCAACAGGTGTTAATGGAGGAAATGATGTGTAACAGTGATTGTGTGCACAGACACGTTCATTACCTGGCCCATGAAATCTGTGAAGAACAGCATGTTGGACAGGAAGGCTGTCCATCCAATGAGGTGGCTGATGCAAAGGTAGCGGTAGTGAGGAGGCATGTTCACCAGTGCTCTCAGCAGTGACTTTAATGTCATTGCCCTGCGAGTCTGAAATAAAACATGAAACAGAGGTGTGATCTTCACTGCAGAAACTCAGCCAGCTAAGGGAGCCAGAACACACAGACATGTTATGTATTTGTCAGTCAGCCATCACACAAAGTGTCACTTTTCCTGGACATGGAACTAGGTTTCCATGGAGTAGACTCACAGGAGGTATTCTGTTAAGCACGAGTGGCTGCTTGGCAGTTTCAGGCCCAGAATGAGGCTTTGGACACAAGGGCAAAGGGAATGAGAATGGTGCTAGCTTCAGGCCAAGGTGTAGGAGACATTGAGCATCCTATGTCTGAATGACAGAACTGTTGCACAAGGACAAAGCTCACAGACATAAGCCAGCTCTTAGATGATTATAATTCTTGGGTCTCTTAACTGTGAGAGCATAGTAGGCAAATCCAAGATGTCTGTCATGATCTTGGTCCCCTGATGTCATCCCTGTGATTATGTGCTGTTACATGGCAAAGGGATTTTGCAGATATATTAATAATTAAGGTTATTAATCGCTCACTTTGAGTTAATTGAAAGGGAGATTACCTGGTTGATCCTAACCAAATTCCATGAGCCCTTGAAAAGTACAGAATTTTCTCCAGCTGGTAGTAGAAGGGAAAGTCAGAGCAACTCAAAGCACAAGAAATGTCTGCTTTGAAGGTGGAGGAAGCCACTTGAAAGGACCTGAGAGTGACATTTAGGGGCTGAGAGCAACTCCAGGCCAACAGTCCACAAGAAAGCAGGGACCTCAATCCTATAACCACATGGAACTGCATTCTGCCAACATCCTGAATGTGCTTTGAGGCGGGCTCTTCCCACTGAGCTTCCAGATGAGAATACAGCTCTGCTAACACTTTGACTTCAACCTTGTAAGACCCTGTGCAGAAAACCTAGTGCAGCTTACCCAGGCTTCTGATCTACAGAACTGTGAGATAATAAACTGATGTTGTTTTAAGCAGCTAAGTTTGTGAAAATTTTTTATTCATTAGAACATTAATACAGAGAGCCAGTCAGCTCCCTGTTCTTAGCCAGATGTCTCCTCCCAGGTTATATCTCTGAATCCTAATGATAGCAGAAACATGTTAATGAGCCTTACATTGAGTTAGAAGTAAGAACAATGTAGAACTCAAATATATATGTTTATACACACACACACACAAACACACACACACACACACGGTCTTCAATATGTTAATGGAAAATGCATATTATGAAAAAATTATGCATGGATTCCAAAAATTTTTTGAAGCAATATAAACTCATACTAACTTGTTATAGCATGTCTGAAGAAGATTTAGTTTGAGGCACTAAGAAGGATAAGACATCAGTTTGAAAAGAGCCCCTAACAGAGCAACATGAATTCTACTAAAATTGAAGCTAGAATAAACATCAAATTTATGGTGAAGCTTCAGTAGAAGAATGGTGAAACACTGATTTTTTTTTAACTTTATGAAGACAATGTCCCAAAGAAATCAGCAGTTTACAAATGGATAACTCATTTTAGGAAGGAACCAGATGGTGTTAAGGATGAAGTCCTCAGGGGCAGACCATCTACATCAGTTTGCAAATAAAAAAGTTAATCTTGTTTATGCCCTAATTGAAGAGGACTGACAATTAATGGCAGAAACAATAGTCAACACCATAGACATCTCAGTTGGTTCAGTTCACACAATTCTGATGGAAAAGTTAAGGTTCAGCAAACCTTCCACTCAATGGGTACCAAAAGTATTGTGCCCAGATCAACTGCAGACAAGAGCAGAGCTTTCAATGAAAATTTTAAACATGCAGGATCAAGATCCTGAAACATTTCTTCAAAAAGTTGTAACAGGAGATGAAACATGGCCTTACCAGTATGATCCTGAAAACAAAGCACAATCAGAGCAATGGCTACCGAGAGGTAGAATTGGTCCAGTCAAAGCAAAAGCAGACAGGTCAAGAGAAAAGACCATGACAACAGTTTTTTTGGGGATGCTCAGGCATTTTGCTTGTTGACTTTCTGGAAGGCCAAAGATTGATAATATCTACTTACTATGAGAGTGTTTTGAGAAAGTTAGCCAAAGCTTTAGCAGAAAAACACACAAAAGCTTCACCAGGAAGTCTTTGTCCACCATAACAATGCTTCTGCTCATTCCTATCATCAAACAAGGGCAATGTTGTGATAATTTTGATGGAATATCTTTAGGCATCAATCCCAGAGTCCTGATTTAGCTCCTTCTGACTTCTGTTTCCTAATCTTAAAAAATCTATAAAGGGCACCCATGGTTTTTCAGTTAATATTGTAAAAAAGGCTGCATTGACATAGCTAAATCTCCAGGACCCCCAGTTCTTTAGGGATGGGCTAAACGGCTGGTATCATTGCTTACAAAAGTAAGCAATGAACTCAATGGAGCTTACATTAAGAAATAAAGTTTATTCTTTTTAATTTTTATCTTTTAATTCTATTTTTCCATTAACTTTAGGAAGGCCCATCCCACACACATATATGTAAAAAATGAATATATAGGCCCCGATTCCTTAATTTAGATTTAAATTAGGTTAAAACTAGAAGCTATAGTTTTTCTGGTTTCAGAAACATTGAGAGAATGAGAAACTTTAAACTATTGATACAACTGTTTTGAAATACAAAAAATGATAATAGCTTTTAGCATCTTGTCATATAAGAGAAGAAAGAAACCTTGGGAATATTAATTGATTAGCTTCCCTGAAGACACTGAGACCATAAACATCAGACACAATTTGGTAATTGGTCTTTCTTGTCATATTTTTATTTATTCTGAATCACGACATTGAGTACTGGCTAGTTTATAAGACAGTCTACTGAGATTTTCTATTTTAACTGTAACAGCATATTTTTTATACTTCTTAACCTTATATAATCATGCTTTTTTCTTCTTTGCTGTGGAAAATTATATTCGCCCATTTTAATTTTGTTGTGTAAGTTGATTTTTTAAAATTCATCAGTCTTGCAGTATCTAGCCCACTGACCATAACTATACTCATTTTCTGATAATCAGTGTTAAACACTATAGACATCTCCCTGGATTGAAGGAAAATAACTGTTTTTCTGCAAGTTCAATATGGTACCTGTAAAAATAAATGATTATAACCAAAATGAAGTGCAGAATTACTACTTTTTCCTCAACCACAGAAAGAAGCAGCTAACAATAGCCCAAGAAACAACAGCCTGGTTTTCATGCCTCCAACTAAATGGTTTGTCATCACTTTCCTTCCTCTCCTTCCAAAAATGCAAAACTGAGAAAGCGAATCTGGTCAGCAAGTACTCAGCCTCATTCTAAATATTAATATATGCTTCTGACTTATACATAATTTTCAGCCTGCTTTCATTGTTAGCCTAATTTCTCCTTTCTTCTAAAAATAAATATGAGCTTTCAAAATGTGCATAGTATTTCTGTAAAAGCTGAGAGTGTAAATATTCAAAGCCCCTTTGTATATTTTAACTCAGAATAAAAACCCAGCTGGGATATTATTCCTGACTCATCAATTCCCTTGGTAAAAACCTTTCAATGATTCTGAAACCTTGGGAGTTGTTTTACTGCATTTATTTTGCACCACTGTCAGCTGGAGACTGGGTAGTGATGAATTTACAAGCGAAAAAGGTACAGAGTCATCAGGGAGAAAGAAAACTTCACAAACATACCCTCAAAAGGAGACTATTTAAATGTTAAAGGGAGCAACTGACGACATGGAGGAATTGGAGATAGATTTTATGAGATCTGGTTTAAACTTCTGAAATAATTCAGCCCTCTTGCCATTAAAAAAGAAAAATTTGTTCTTAAATTACACAGCCACCCTTATTTTGGAAAGCAATGTCTTTGGCAAGCAATGACAGCCCTGAAGCCTTGGCCCTGACCCTGGGGAAGTGCAGACTTCCTTTGCTTAACTGGAGACCTCCCAGGGCACACATTTGGAAGAGAAGTGCAAATCCATGGCTTTGAGAGTAAGATGCATTACTCTGTGCTATATTCTTACTTTAACTTTTTGTCTTATTTTATTTGCTTATTTATTTATGTTTTTAGAGGTGGGGTCTCTCTCTGTTGCTTTGACAAGTGTGCAGCGGCATGATCACAGCTCACTGCAGCATCAAACACTTGGGTTCAATGGATCCTCCCACCTTGGCCTCATGAGTTGCTGGGATTACAGGAATGAGCCACTGCACTGGTCTCAATTTGTTTTTTAAACCAAATAACAAGATCATTCAGAGTCTACAACATTTTTCATGTGGCCCCTACTAGAAAGTTCGTTGTATCTGTTGTATTTATTTTTGTACTCGTGTGGGAGTTCCATGACTTTCAAAAGGCTTCCACTCAGTTGATTTCATGTGATCCTCACAGCAGCCTCTGAGTGGATGGGACGACCCCTGTCCTATGCGACTCTTGGAGGGGGAGTCCCAGTCTATCGAAGGGGACATCAAAGAGGTAGATAATCTATCAGGGTGTTATCTATTATCACGTATATACTTTTATTTAGTAAAACCGCACCTTGTTTTGTTCCCCAAATCACCACATTATTTTTTAATTTTCACTTTCACATTATTTGATTACTTTTTCCCTTTTTTTATCTATTATAGAAATTTTGGATGTATTGCAGGATTTAAAAATAGAAAATTAAAGCTTCCTGTGAGCCTATCATCCAGACTTTTCATTTTTTGTATATTTCCTTTCCATTTTTTCCTCTATGTTATGCAGCTTTGTTTTCTCCCAAAAAAAGATGGTTTTGTGCATGTAATGTATATTTTACCTGATATATTTTTAGTAAACCTTCGGAAACATACATTTTTAATGACCGCATGAATGTTATCATATAGATATTCCGTGATTCTTTGGCTGTCCTGCATAAATGCACAGAGGGCTCCAGTCCAACTAGTAATCTTAGAGTTCTGGCTTCTTGGTGAAGGAGAGTCAAAGAGTACAAGTATTCTCCTCCAGGCAGCCTGGTGTAGGGAAAGGGGGTTGAGTCCAGGCATTAGGAGACCTAAAATCTCAAATTTTCTCTACTTGTGTGATTGAGATAAAATGAAGGCTTTATCCCAATGACCTCTTAGTTCCTCGTTGCACTCTTACAGTTATGAAAAACACTGCACTCATCCTAAAATAGGAGCTACTGTTGGAATCAGATGAATAGATTACTCTCTTCAACTGTATTCTCCTATCAAGTGGCATGGCGAGAGGCAGGTTGATGCGCTGTGGCAACTCAACTTGAAGGCAGTCATGTTTATAGAATGAGGCCTCGTTTCAGCAGATCATACTCAACCATTTTGCCAATTCAAACATGAGCAGTGTCGAAGTTTACTTTTGCATTTATTTTGGAAAAATGCTAAGCAAATGAACAGAGTAAACAATACTGGAGGAAGCACTTGATCTCAAGGGAAAACTACTTACACACTTTTATAACTAACAGCTAAGATGTATTGCTTTTATTTATATACATAACTGTATACAAAAAAATGAGGTTTTCTACTGACTATACATAGCAAAAAAAATTCCTTAAAATACCATTAAAATAAAGTACCGTTTTTAAATTTTGTAAACCGCTTAGCTAAATGTAATGTGGTATCCTAGATTGGATCAGAAAAAGGATATTACCCAGGAATAGGATTGCTGGATCAAATCGTAGCTCTACTTTCAGTTCTTTCAGGAATCTCCACACTGTTTTCCATAGTGGTTGTACAAGTTTATATCAACACCAGCAGGGTAGAAGTGTCCCCTGTTCACTGCATCCACGTCAACATCTATTTTTTTTATTATGGACATTCATCTGACATATATATATATATATATATCATAGTTTTTTTATTCACTTGTTGATTGATGGGCATTTAGGTTGGTTCCACGTTTTTGCAATTGCGAATTGTGCTGCTGTAAACGTGTGTGCAGGTATCTTTTATATATATGATGGAATACTACTCAGCCATAAAAGGAATGAATTAATGGCATTTGCAGTGACCTAGATGAGATTGAAGAATATTATTCTAAGTGAAGTAACTCAGGAATGGAAAACCAAACATTGTATGTTCTAACTCATAAGTGGGAGCTAAGCTATGAGGATGCAAAGGCATAAGAATGACACAACAGACGTTGGGGACTCAGGGGGTAAGTGTGGAAAGGGGATGAGGGGAAAAAGACTACAAATTGGGTGCAGTGTGTACTGCTCAGGTGATGGGTGCACCAAAGTCTCACAAATCACCACTAAAGAACTTACTCATGTAACCAAACACCACCTGTTCCCCAATAGCCTATGGAAATACATTTTTTTTAAAAAAAGGGCATTAGTAGAAAAACTGGTGAAATTCAAATAAGTCTGCTGTTTACCTAACAGTATTGAAGCAGTGTTAATTTCTTAATTTTAACAAATGTACATGGTTCTCTATGATGTTAACATAAGAGAAAAGCTGGTGAAGCATACATAGGAACTCTCTCTACTATCTGCAACTTTTTTGTAAATCTAATTAAACTTTGATTAAGAAAGCAAAATAACACATAGGCACACTTTTCTAGGTGACAACTCCATGGGGTAGAACAAGGGCTGTGGTGTTCACTAGTCTTCTGATGCTCAGCACTGGGTCTGGCAGGTGTAATTAATAGCTATTGAATGAATAAAAGAATGCACAAGTGAATGAACCAAGCACACAGTGCAACTCATTCCAAGACATCTTATTATTCACCCAAATAAACCCTCCTGGGTACCTCTTTATTCCCTGTAGTCAGCAGCTGGATTAATATCAAAAACAAAAAACCAACCAAAAAAAGCTAACATCAAGGAGTCCTTTGCCCCACTAGTTTTGATGGACCTCCATCATCCACCTAATAAAATTTTAGTTCCTATGCTGGCATTCAAAAGCTTCCAAAATGTGTCTCCAATTTGCTTTCCTAACTTTATTTCTAAAGTTACAAACTCTGTGATCTATGGTACCACTTATACTTTCTACAAATATGCTTCATGCTTTAAAAAAAATTTTTTATGTCTGTGGCTTTGCTGATGCTCTTCTGTCAGAAGTACTTTTCCCCCAAAATCTCTATTCAAATCCTAACTATCATTCAAGGCACAACTCAGGGGCGATCTCTTCCATAACGCTTTTCTCCATTTATTTAGGCACAATCCTTCCCTCTTTAAAACTAAAAGCAATTGCTATTTTGCCATTTGTGGCCACCTTGGAAATGTGCCGTTTGGGTCACCTACCAGAGAAAACACAGTTGATCGACAGCGCTGAATGCTGCCTCTCTGGATCCACTGTTCCTGTTCCTGCCAAGGAACTCTGTTCCTGTACCTGTTCCTGCCAAAGTTACCCCTTTCCTGGCTGTTCCCAGATAGTGACTAACAAGACGGGGGGTATTAGTGTTAGCCTGTTCCTACAAGAGTTGGGACTCCTCTAAGGAGCAACTTTGGCTGGAGGACTCCCATTTGGCCTGAGTGAAGCTTTCTTGAAACTTCACTGCATCTGAGAGGCTTCCTACCCTATCCTCTTTCCTTTCCTTTCTCCTTTCACAGGTGTTTGACTTGCATCAACATAAGAAGACTTTCCCTTCCTATTTCTGCTTTCTCCACTTTATCTTTCATGCTGTTTTCTCCAATGAATCTCTTACATGTCAAATCCTATCTTGGTGCCTTTTTAAAAGATCTGAACTGATACATTGTTTTATAGCATTTACCATGTTCTATCATGGATTATGAGTCATGGTATAAATGGCATATGCCACGTGTTAGGCTGCAAATTCCTGGGCATAGAGACTGGACATTTGTCAGTTTTATGGTCCCCAAATATCTAGTACAGTGCTTTGCACATACTCAGTACCCCAAGCTGTTTGTTAAATGAATAATGATTATAATGTATTGATATATTTATGTGAAGTTTGAAAAAGTGTCTTTGTATGCTTTATCTTAGTTGAACATCCTAATAATCCTAGAAAATAGACTGGCCAAGCCAACAAAAGAAGTTGACCTCACAGGAAGGTGAGATTCACTGAGCTTGTCTGAAAGTTGTTGGAGTCCAGATTTGTGTTCCCTGTTTGTGCTTAAGGCACTCTAGTGTTCTGCCAGGGTCAAAATAACAAGGCCTAAACCCAACAGCTTATTATGTGGTTGCAAACACTCTAAGTAACTTTACCTGAATTAGCCCCTGCAACCTGCACGAAACCCTTGTAGGTAGATGGAATTATTTTATCATTTAACACAAATGTAAATGCCCAAAGTCATGCAATCCAGAGGTGGTACAGCCAGGATTTAAGCACTGTGCTCTTAATCTTTAGGTTACCCTATAGCAAGTAGCTATTTGTGATTCACTGAATGAATAACACAAGTCAGCAGCTAGAGGAACCAAGATTTGAACTTAAGTCTTCTACAACATTTTGTCAATCAAGAAATCCTCTGTTCTATATCCCTGAGGTTTTGGCATTCAATTTTAGCTTGAAGGAAAATGCAATTATTTCATCAGTGTTGTCCAACAGAACGTTCTACAATGATGGGAATGTCTTACATCTGCACGTCCTATATTTTAGCTAGAAGCCCTATGGGGCCTTTGAGCATTTGAAATGTAGCTAATGCAACTGAAGAAATGAAGTTCTAATTTTATTTTTATTTTAATTTAAATAGCCCCACGGGATTATTAGCTACTATATTGCTCAGCTTAATTCTAGTCTCTTCTCTGATCATTTCATCTGAACATGGTCTCATTTCTCTGGCAGTTAGTTGAGTTTTATTTCAAATTTTAAGCTGATGAATTC